>NT_187516.1:300000-425601 GCF_000001405.40 Homo sapiens
GGTCCCAGGGGAAGCAGCAAGGGGCCTCCGGGGCCCCTGCCAGCTCTTAACACACACCAGATGGACAGCCCGCTGACCACGCTCTTCTCAGTGGAGAGCCGGGTGGGAACTGTGCCAGGGGATGCCGCCCCAACTCTGCACAGCAGGTCTCCTCTCGCCCCCGGCCTCTGCACGGGTGACTCAGTGTGGTCCACACACAGCCAACATTCTCCCAGGTGGCTCAAGAATCAAATACAGCTTATTTTATGTATAGCTCAAGGTGATTTCTCAGCCTCCTGCCTCCCATCCCACTTTATGTCCAAAGAAGGCTTAGTCCATTGGGCAGCCTTCTGCCTGCTCTGCAGACACGCCTCTGGCAAATTCCATCAAGACGCTACTGCTTCTGTCTCAGGGTTAGCACTGGGCTCTCCTTGCCTAAGTCCTGGGGGGTTTGAAAGATCCTGTGTGCCCTACAGCAGCCCTGTCCTGCCACCCCCTCTGGCCCAGGAGGAGCCCCCCGCCCCCCGCAGAGTTGCTGGGGACCACCCTGGAACAAGTGACAGCTGTTGGAAGTGTGGTTTTTCAATTTTAGTTTAGGAGAGAAAACTGATTTCCAAATACTTGGGTTCACTGTGCTGCTGAATAACAACATTCACGGCCCAGGTGCCCACCGGGAGGCACGCTGCCCCGAGGGCTGCAAAGCCCCATGTTAGCACTGCCTCCCGGAGCTCCCACGAGCCCTGACTCCGGCCCCGAGACAGAAATGAAAGCAACAGGGCACAGCGAATAATGCTATCTTTCTGCTTCTGTGACAAGTCTCAGGTGCTAAACAAAGAGAAGGACATTTCCCAGATCTCCAAGTTAGTCCACAAAACCGACAGCTCTGATGGCTCGCAGAGCTCTGTATTAGCGGGTGTTCAGGGGAAATACAAAACATCATCGAGAGCCTGGTCCCTGTCTAGGATTTAATAATCAAATTGGAGACCAGACACACACACCCGGCCAAAGAACACCTAATAACATACCATGTGGTGACTGATACTCTATATGTTGAATGTATCTGTAGCAAAAGGAAGAAAAGGCAGGTTTTGAAAAGAGGAGCATGGGACGGGCGCAGTGGCTCACGCCTGTAATCCCAGCACTTTGGGAGGCCGAGGCGGGTGGATCACCTGAGGTCAGGAGTTTGAGACCAGCCTGACCAACGTGGTGAAACCCCCTCTCTACTAAAAAAATGCAAAAAATTAGCCAGGCATGGTGGCACATGCCTGTAATCCCAGCTACTCGGGAGGCTGAGGCAAGAGAATCACTTGAGCCCAGGAGGCGGAGGTTGCAGTGAGTTGAGATCGCACCATTGCACTCCAGCCTGGGCAACGAGACTGAAACTCCGTCTCAAAAAAAAAAAAAAAAAAAAAAATGAGGAAGGTGTGAATTGAAAATGAGGAAAGAGATCAGGAGAGAAAGCAGATATATATCACAAACCTCTTGCTTACGTGAGAACTACGGTGTTTCTCAAGGTCTCACTTGTGAAATGGTGGGTCACCTTTTTCCCTCTCATAAGCCTGGCCTGTTTAATAAACTCTATGTATACGTGTGTCAGCAGAGGGTGAGTGGAGAGTTTAAAGACCTTATCCGGGACCCCAGAATGGCAGATGAGGGAAGGGAATGAGGTTCATGAGCACACTGTGCCCCCATTCCAGCCTGCTCCTGCCTGCTCTACAGACGCATTCGCTGAAACGTACCACGGATTAGCAGAAGGGTGGTTTGCAGTGCATGTGCATAATGCTCAGGCTTGCAAAGGGCGGAAGGTCGCCAGGGGTTCTGAGCATCTCCAAAACTTCACGACAGAGGCCAACCCACCTGGGAACACAGTGACACTGGGACCCGAAGCCCCAGGAAGGTGGGCTCACTTTCGTTGTTAGTGGTGTCTCCGCTGCGAGGTCCATTCACGGCTCGTGTCTCCTCTTGTGTCTGACAGGCTGAAGTGTGTGCAGGCACCGTGGCAGAGGTGATCCAGTCTGTGGTCAACGGGGCAGATGGCTGCGTGTTCTGTTTCGGCCACGCCAAACTGGGTTCGTGAGAGTTTCACTTTCTCATGCGGCTCGTTGAGCTCCCTGTCATCCCATGCATTCCTCTGTCTCCCTCCCAGAGTTCTCTGATGACAGGAAGGGCTGCGTTTCTCTTAGGTGTTGAGCTGAATAACCAATAACAAGTTATACGACGAAAACCTATGTTGTTCATTGTAGGTGGACACCCATTCATGTAGGAAAGCCTTCAAGTCCAAATAGATGGAAAGAGAAGTAGCAGAGTTGTTCCCACTTGGTCCAGGTCAGAGTCAAGCCCAGAAGGCAGGCAGGAAAATATTCATTTCCTGAGCAGCCGCTGTTTGGGAAGCAGATAGGGCCCCTTGCACCACCGCACCCATGAGGATGTGGGTTGGTGGTTGGACCCCTGTAAAAGCCAGAGGAGCAACCTCCAAGCAAAGCCCAGAGCCCAGGGCGCGTCTGGAGAAAGCAGTGCACACCGTCGGGAACACTCCAGCGCTGAAGCGTCTGGGAAAGGAGGCAGCAGAGCCCCCCAACAAGGGGTTCATAAATCCCCCCACAGTCCCATCTTACTTCTGACCTGTGGCCATCTGCTCCCCAGGCCTTGCCCTTACACGCTTGATATGTTTAGTGAATTGAGGAGCTTCAAAAACTGTCCCTTGGCAGAGATTCCAACAGAGGCCTTGCTGGAGCTCACAGAGGCCAGTTCTCAGCCAGGACAGAAAGCCATTGCCTCTCTCTGCACTTCCGTCCTCCCCAGCCCTTTCTCTTGATCTTGATGTAAGCAGTGATCTGGGTTTTAATAGAATTTGCTCATGCCATAAAAATATACACAGCATTTAACTTGAGACAGGATATAAAGTGTGAATATGTGGACTTAATCTGGGGGGTAACTATAAAAAGAACCATAATGATGATGAAAAAGCCCAGCCTTCCCACTGTGTGTAAAGCAGTGCAGGAACTGGATAGCATGTGATATTTGGGGTCCTCCTCAAGGTACATGGTGATTTAATCTTGTCACATGTCTGGGCTCTTGCTTTGTTTCTTTTTTTTTTAAGAGATGGCTCTCAGTTGCCTGGGCTGGAGTACAGTGGCATGCTCATAGATTACTGTAACCTCCAATTCCTGGGCTCAAGTGATCCTCTCGCCTCAGCTTCCCAAGTAGCTGGGGCCACAGGCATGCCCCACCACACCCAGATAATTTTTAAAAATTTTTCATAGAGGCAGGGTCTCCGTATGTTGCCCAGACTGGCCTGGAACTCCTGGCCTCAAGCAATCCTCCCATCTTGGCCCCCACAAAGTGCTGAGGTTACAGGCATGAGCCACTGAGCCCAACCAGCATTCTTTATTGTAGCCATTTAGTTAGTAATACCAGAAAATGCCTTCTGTTGTTGTCAAATACTATTTCTCTCATCTTTTTGTTCCTTCTCTTCCCTTTTCCCCCCTTCCCTGTGCCTTTCTTCTATATCCTTGGCATCTATTTTGGAGACTCCGTGGAATGATGCCTGGACACTGAACCTGCTTTTCTTCCTTCCCTGGTTCTCCCAGGAAAATCCTACACCATGATCGGAAAGGATGATTCCATGCAGAACCTGGGCATCATTCCCTGTGCCATCTCTTGGCTCTTCAAGCTCATAAACGAACGCAAGGAAAAGACCGGCGCCCGTTTCTCAGTCCGGGTTTCCGCCGTGGAAGTGTGGGGGAAGGAGGAGAACCTGCGGGACCTGCTGTCGGAGGTGGCCACGGGCAGCCTGCAGGACGGCCAGTCCCCGGGCGTGTACCTCTGTGAGGACCCCATCTGCGGCACGCAGGTGATTGCTTCTGAAGCCTGGCTCGCCCCAAGGTGGCTCCCTCCCCACCTCAGAGGCTGGGGCAGCTCCACCCGTGAATCACTGAACCTGTAAACTCAGAGGCTTACGGGTGTTTACTTTAAAGTGGACTGGAACTTTATGGCCTGCAGCTGTGGGGCCATCGGCTTGCCCAGTCTAAATATTTGTACCTTGACTCTAATTGACAATGAGCAGGGACCACAATTACAGCATTTGGGGGAGAAATGGAATTCACTTTCTTTATGCCCCTTTCAAAAAAAAAAAGTAACAATCTTTCTTTTGTTTAACAACAAACCGGAATATTTACTGCTCTGCACAAATAGCTAGAGCCATTACGGGGCTGTTGATGACTCTATAAACTGTGCTTCTGGCACTGGTTTACAGCCGGATTAGCAGTGCTGCAGGAAAAACTAATAACCACTTTCTAATTAGAACCGTGATATAATTGCTAGAACTATGGAAGCCAAGAGAAGCTCCAGTTCACCATTTCAGGATGCTAAGCCTGTTGGGAGGGTCTCTCCTTTGCTGTTTGACAACAGATGTAGGAATGACCCGGGAGCTGCAATTCATTCATATCCAGAATAATCAATCCTTCCAGTCTCTAACAGTAGGCTTTATTTTCCCGTGTTGTCAGATGCCTCCTTTTGTAGATAGGTGTTCCGTTTGATAAGTACCTGCCTCTTCCCAACTGGGATTGTTTGCACAGGTGAGGATACCTCCCGTGGCCTGTTATACTCATTACTCAAACCTGACCATGCTCTTCCCCTGCTTAAAGCACCTCAGATCCCTCCATTTCCCTGAGTCCTCTTTCGTCTGCATCTGTCACCTCGAGGACTTGTTTAAACACTGATCGCTGGGCACCCCCCCAGAGTTTCCAATTCAGTAGGTCTAGAGTAGAGCTCCAAAATGTGCATTTCCAACAAGTTCCCATGAGATGCTCATGCTGCCGGTCCAGGGATCACAGTTGGAAATCACTGTTCTGAGGCATCAAATGTGCAGAGACAGTATCTACACAGTGTCTGTGATGCAATCAGTAGGACTCGACCCACTGCTCCTGTTCCAGGCATTTTCTAGACATTCAAATATGCTTTCACCCCCATTCATTTTTAGAACTTCATTGATGAAATTCCACTAAGGGGTGAAAAGTCTGGTTAAATGAAGGCTAAGAAAAAGAAGAAAAGACCAATATTCCCTTTAATTCTTGTTGAAAAATCTTTTAAATTCTTTGGTTTATTTTTCCATAGCGAGACAAAATTTTGAACACAAAAGAATCTCTCTTTGAAGTCTGAGGATTTTGATGGCCTCAGGTTCTAAATATTGGCTCTTACAGTTCAAAATTATTTGTATAGTTAGAGTAGAAAATTGTCAGAATTTGTACCAACCTTAAGACATGTACTGCAAATTAGTTCTTTGAACAAATCAGAAACATGAGTTGCCTTTTCTCCCCAAAAAGAGGA
The DNA here is from genome assembly GCF_000001405.40 of Homo sapiens. NCBI lineage: Eukaryota > Metazoa > Chordata > Mammalia > Primates > Hominidae > Homo > Homo sapiens. Next base: position 305,308 of record NT_187516.1, read on the forward strand.
GTGCTGGTTCAATTCTGTTAATGTGATCGTTGTGATTCAGGTTTAAAATAATTGCCAAGTATTTTCATAAGATTCAGACGCATTACCCTGTGTGCTTTCTTTAATCAATTAATGAGTATGCCGGGAGCATGGATTCAGGAACTAAAGGTAAATAGGTATCTCCTAAATTTAGATGAGACATTCAAGTATCGTGAGTGTTTGAGGGTGCCCTTTACACTGGTTTCTTATTTATAACTATGCTAGTAAATATGGCCTAAAATTGGCTTTAATTAAATAACTGCAAAACTAGGAGTCAAATGAAAGCTAACCAAGTTTTTTTACATCTTTGGGACACCACTGCTATGAGGCCTCAAATCACATTTTGCAACCTACCTGTCTCCAAACAATCTAATCTTTGGACTCAAGATGCAGTCACATCGCTCCTGTTTTCTTAGGTAAATGGATAGCCAGGGGTGTTGGTTTGCCGCCCTCTGCAGAGATAAGGATGAGCCATCTGCTCCCAGCTTTTCACACCCACTAGTTCCAGATTCTACTTAGACTGTAAAGTAGGTAAAAATAGGTTTCATCCAATAAGTATGCTCAATATTAATTTTCAGAAATGAATTAATTAAGCTGAGAATTGCACATGAGCATAGCACCTTGTTTCAGAAGGGTTTTCAGCCTTAGAGGGGCACGTGGCTTTACTATACAGAACACACAGCCAGCTGAATGGTGCTGGGGACACCCAGGCATGAGTGACAGCAAGCCCTCCTCAGCCTGCAGCCTCATCTCTTGGCTTCTGTCTTCCAGCTGCAGAACCAGAGCGAGCTGCGGGCCCCCACCGCAGAGAAGGCTGCCTTTTTCCTGGATGCCGCCATTGCCTCCCGCAGGAGCCACCAACAGGACTGTGATGAGGACGACCACCGCAACTCACACGTGTTCTTCACACTGCACATCTACCAGTACCGGATGGAGAAGAGCGGGAAAGGGGGAAGTAAGTCGGCCACTCCACCCTCCTGCCTCCTTAGCGGCTCTGGCCCCAGCCAGAAATCCCTTGGGCAACCATGACCTTTGTGTGTGTGTGTGTGTGTGTGTGTGTGTGTGTGTGTGTGTGTGTGTGTGTGAGAGAGAGAGAGAGAGAGAGAGAGACAGGGTCTTGCTCTGTCACCCAGGCTGCAGTGCAGTGGCACGATCACAGCTCACTGCAGCCTCAAACTCCTGGGCTCAAGTGATCCTCCTGCCTCAGTCTCCCAAGTAGCTTGGGACTACAGGCTCATGCCACCACACCTAGCTATTTATTTGGTTATCTTTGTAGAGATGGGACCTTGCTATGTTGCCCAGGCTGGTCTAGAACTCCCGGTCTTGAGATCCTCTTGCCTTGATCTCCCAAAGTGTTGGGATGAAAGGTATGAGCCACCATGCCTAGCCAAACTTTTCTTAATAGACTACAATATGCAGTTCAGTGACTCGTAATTCAAGATAATTATAGTATCTGGGCTGAAGTTCACTTTTGAACTGTCCAGGGAAAGGAGTTTGCTTTGGTAAAGGTAATTTACAAATGTCATTGCCATGAGAATGTGAGAGGTCAAAGTTACAAAAAGAAAACAACTGCCTGACAGTATCTTTTTGTTCACAGACCTCAAAAATGCTCCTCAAGAAAGACCAACATTTATCCACCAAAGCACTCCGGCAGTGTGTTATCATCATTAGCTCGAGGCCACTGTATGGACCATGTTTTTTAAAATAGCATAGAAATCAGACTTTTGAATAACTACCCAGACCCTGGCTGCCTCCCTCAAATCGTCAGTGAAGGTTTACTGTCAAAACCCAGGTACGGTGCCTGCTCTTCGAGTGAGCTGCCCTGCCAGGAACCCAACACTGTGCCCCTACAGACCCCTCTTGGCTGTGTTTCCAAAGTCAGCCCGGGCTGGGGTGCAATTCTCTGCCTTCTGTGAAGTAGTGTTTACTCTATGCCCAAAAGAGTTGAGCACCAGATCAGCTGAATGTCTCCAGTGGGGATCTTGGACCAGGGGCAAAGTGGTCTGTTGATTTCACTGGGTTCCTAAGGCAGGTTGTGGGTAACGGGGCTGCTGGGCTGGCCGGGCAGTGGCTTCCGTGGTTCCTCCATGTCCCGCTCTGCCGGGCTTTCAATACACAGGCAACTGGCTCCCAGCGCTTTCTGCATGATTGTCTCAAAGACACTGGATGCCAGAAAAACAATCAGAAAACTGAGTTAAGAGTCTAACCCTGGACTGGAAATTGTAAAGCTCATTGAGTAAAGCAGAGATGGTCCGCAAAGCTGTTGTAGATGAAGCCTAGAATGAAGACATCCAAGTAGGACCAGGCGTGGTGGCTCACACCTGTAATCCCAGCACTTTGGAAGGCCAAGGTGGTTAGATCACTTGAGGTCAGCAGTTTGAGACCAGCCTGGCCAACATGGAGAAACCCCGTCTCTACTAAAAATAAAAAAATTAGCTGGGCGTGGTGGCACACACCTCCCAGCTAGTTGGGGGTCTGAGGCAGGAGAATTGCTTGAACCCAGGAGGCGGAGGTTGCAGTGAGCCCAGATCGTGCCACTGCACTCCAGCCTGGGTGACAGAGCAAGGCTCTGTCTCAGAAAATAAAAATAAAAAGACTTCCAGCTGGGATCTATGGACAGGCTCCCCCTGATTTCCCCTAAGCCTCCTCGTGGCTCAAAAGACCTGGACAACAGTACTCCTGGGGAGAGAGCTCTTTGCGGGCTTCTGCTGTCCCCAGGCAAAAGCGCCTCCCTTCCCCCACCTCGGTGCCTCTCTTCCTACTCTTTAGTTACTGTTGTTAAAATCCAGGTTTATTGCAGTATAAGGTACATTCACCAAAACATCACTTTGATGTGTCTTTAGATGAGTTTTGGCCAATCTATACAGTCATGTAGCCACCACCATTATCAAAATAGAGCATAAGGCTAAAGTTCCCTCTTGCCGTTTGTCCCTTCCCCTGACCTCTAGCCCCTGGCAACCACGGATCTGATTGTTGTCCTGGTTTTGCGTTTATCCAGGATATCGTGGGAATGGACTCGTGTGGCCCAGATGTGGCCTTTTGTGTCTGGCTTCTTTCACGTAGTGTCCTAATGCATTTGAGACTCCCCCATGCTGCAGCACGCGTCTCTTGTTTCTTCTGGTTCCTGCTGCCTGTTCTGCCTGCTCCTTTAGTTTTTTTGTTTGTTTGAGATGAAGTCTCACTCACTCTGTTGCCCAGGCTGGAGTACAGTGGCGTGATCTCGGCTCACTGCAACCTCCGCCTCCCGAGTTCAAGCGATTCTCCTGCCTCAGCCTCCTGAGTAGCTGGGAATACAGGTGCCCACCACCATGTCTGGCTAATTTTTGTACGTTAAGTAGAGACGGAGTTTCACCATATTGGCCAGGATGGTCTTGAACTCCTGACCTCGTGATCCACCCGCCTCAGCCTCCCAAAGTGTTGGGATTACAGGCGTGAGCCACCGCACCTGGCCTCTCCTTCAGTTTTGACTGGGCCTGGAGGCTTGGTTCCTACCCTACCACCAGGACAGAATGAAAATATCCACAGCTGGGGCTGGAGTTCCTCTAACTGGGGCTGCTTTTTATGGCTCTGAAAATCAGCCCTGAGCTGCCTCCAGTGGCTGCTGTGAAGAACCGAGAGGTTCTGGTCCTCACTTACAGCGGGCGAGGCGCCCCAGGGAAGTGGCCCATTAGCTTGAGGGCAGCTCTCTCGACAGCCCATGATGGTGAGCAAAGTCTCACTGGAGAGGAGCCGAGGATAGTGAACGGGAATCTCTCGGGAGATGTATTCTTGGTAACAGGCTCACACCATGTAGAGCGCTTCCGTTTAGAATCACGTTCTTAAAGAAGGAAACGCATTCGGATAGGGATGAGGAGATGCAGACCTTTAAAATCGGATAGGGATGAGGAGATGCAGACCTTTAAAATCGGATAGGGATGAGGAGATGCAGACCTTTAAAATCGGATAGGGATGAGGAGATGCAGACCTTTAAAATCGGATAGGGATGAGGAGATGCAGACCTTTAAAATCGACAGCACAATTGCATCCACATTTCTCCTGACTGTGTGGGAGTTGGCCTTGAACCCTGCCCTCACTGTTTTCTCCTGGGTAGTGTCTTCACCCTGTCAATGTAAGAGTCTGACAAATGTTTAGTTTATTCTTTTAAGCAGCTGTCAGTAATCATCATCATCAGAGCCTGCAGGACTTTCTTGTACTTTCAGTAAAGAGTGACTCGCAAAACATCTAACCCTTGAGCCAAATGACTCCCAAATGGCACTGATCAGAAAAACTTGGGAGATGGGATTATCTCTCCTCCTTCCAGGTTTCAAACCAAACTGAGGACAACTCTGTTTTCGGTTTTGTACTTTTTTTCTTTTTTGCAGTTCTGCTTTCGATTTGGAATCTGAAAGTAGGGAGAAATCTTGAAAACAAGGAAACAGTTCATTAAATGACTTCAAATATAAGAACTTGAAATTCAGATTCCACAAAAGTTTAGGCCAAGACATTCCCTAAACCCAGTGATCCACCCCAAATCAGTACCTAAGGAATCCTGCACCCTTATTAAATATTTAATAGCCAGCTCATCTTCTTCCTATTTTTAAGTTGTGAAAGAGAATTGCTTTTAAATAATGCATTCAGGTTAAAAGAAAGGGCAAATACCACGAATGGTTTCCAAAACCTCGGTTAGGTCCTTCCTAATGTTTCAGTGGATGAGAACAAAGAAGGGGAAGGAGTCCAGGGGTCGTGCGATCGGCAGACCTGGGGGACATCTCTTCCCTCCCGAGGGGAAAGGATCCCGGCCAGAATGCACACGGCCTCCCCGCCTGGGACTCACTTGACTTCAGTGAATTTATAACTGTTTAAAATATAATGAGGAGATTTGGAGGGTTGTTTAAAATGGAAATTTTGTTTACTTACATATAAGTAATAATCCCTGCGGACCTGGCAGCCAGAACTCAATTAGGGGAAAGTTTATTAATTAGTCACCCTGCAGGGAAGCCATTAGAAGAGATCTCTGCCGCAAGAACTAAATAGACTCTGTGTGCGCCTCTGAATCTCATATGCACACATGCATTTTATACATTTTACACACAAATGCATCTTACATTTATAATTTTACACACAAATGCATTTTACACATATAAGTAGACAGACAAAAAAAAGTTTTAAACATTTCCAGTCAAAATAGAAAAGTCTTTGTTGATGTATCCCTGTTTTGCAGATAGCACTAGGTTAAGCTTAAAATATCTCCCTGTTTAAAAGCTCATTGGAATTAGTGGGACTGATCCTTCAGCCTCATGGAGGCCTTCCTCTGCTTTGCGAAGCTAAATCTGTAATAGCTTGAGAGCCTCCTCGGGAATCCCAGCACTGGGAAACAGACCCTGAAGCCCTACTGATCAGAGAGCTGCTTCTCATAACGACGCGTGTACTGGGCACCTAAAACAAGGTGGTGCTTGGGACCAGAAGTGTTTCAGATTTCAGATTGTTTTCCGATTTTGGAATATTTGCATATGTAATGATCCCTTGGGAATGGGACCCAAATCTAAATACAGATTTCATGTATGTTTCATATATGCCTTATAGACATAGCCTGAAGGTAACTTTATACAATATCTTCAATAATTTTGTGCATGAAACAAAGTTTTTACTGCATTTTGACTGCAACCCCTCACGAGGTCAGGTGTGGAATTTTCCCCTTGTGGCATCATATTGGCCTTCAAAAAGTTTGAGATTCTTGGAGTATTTTGGATTTCAGATTTTTTGGGTTAGGGATGCTCAGCGTGGACTAGTGATACTTCAGGGTAATGCGCTAATGATACGGAGATCGCACCTGTCCTGTTGACAAAGATAATTTCAAAAGCCCCACTTTTATGAGTAATCTAAGCATGCAAGCAACTGTTGCTCAAGGTCCACAATGACACCGGGTCTCTGATTTGTTCATTCTCTTTATTGCCTCTGTGGGGAGGATTAGAGGGCTTTGTAGGCTGGGCTGCTGTGTGCGCACACAAATGTATGTGCACATGGGCACACATCTGTGCTACACTCATCTGTCTACACATCTCATCAGACTCTTTAATCTGTTTTTTTGTTTGTTTGTTTGTTTGTTTGTTTTTAACACTGAGTCTCGCACTGTCACCCAGGCTGGAGTGCAGTGGCGCAATCTCAACTCACTTCAACTTCCACCTCCTGGGTTCCCCGCGATTCTCCTGCCTCAGCCTCCTGAGTAGCTGAGATGACAGGCGTCCACCACAACACCTGGCTAATTTTTGTGTTTTTTAGTAGAGACGGGGTTTCACCATGTTGGCCACGCTGGTCTCGAACTCCTGACCTCAAGTGATCCACCCACCTCGGCCTCCCCAAAGTGCTGGGATTACCATACCTAGCCTAATCTGCTTTCTTTTGACAATGCAAATGTTTTCTTTACATGTCATGGAATGGCTTAAATCAACTAATGCTGTATTTAGGGCTGTGTGGTGGATATGACTCTGGAGATCCATTCTTTGGGTGGCAGATGTGGGAAAAGAGGCTTAGGAAAGAACCTTGCTTCTAATGGAGCCACAGCCAGTCCCCTGCTGTCCCCAGCAGCGAAGCCCTGTGCAGCAAGGATGTCCACACACTACAGGGCTCTCATCTCCCGCTTGGTCAATAATGAAGTGGCAGTTTCATCTTTTTAGGTTTTTGTAATCTATATGTTTTTAAATGTTGGCCAGGAGACACTATTCTGAAGAGTGCAGCCTGGAATTCCCATCACCGCCTCCGTTTCTAATCTTCTCAAGCCTCCTGGCCACTCTCAGCAGGTAACTAGCATCTTAGTCAATGAGAAGACAGAGCTGACCTGGTGCATTCCTCAACTTCTCTTCTTTTGGTTTCATAGTCTCCTGGTCCCTTTACCTCAGTTTCCCCCCTGCTCCTTCCCACAGGCCTGCTGCTCCCGTCTCCTGGCATTCTTCCTCCTGCCCCTTCTGCCTCTTCTGGGACCTCACCAATTGGGACCCCCTCAGTGGTCTTTTCATGCTTATGTTTTCAGCCTTTCCTCCCACCAAAGTCAGGGTTACAGAAGGAAGAGAAGGAGGCAGGGAGGGAGGGAAAAGGAAAGGAAAGGAACCACAATGGCACCTTGCCTCTGCCACGCTCCTCTCCGATCGCCTCCTCAACAAAGACGTCAGATTCCCCTCTTTGTAATGTCTTCTTTGAATTTCAGCAGTGTGGGGGATGTTATGCTTTTGCCTTACTCCGCCTTATATTTTGGCTGTTTGTGAGCTAGTCCAAGCCCTATTGGACTATAGGTGCCTTGAGAAAGAGTGCCACAGTGCCAGGGCTGTGTCTGCTGCATGCTGTTTGTGAGCTTGTCCAAGCCCTATTAGACTATAGGTTCCTTGAGACAGAGTGCCACCGTCCTGGGGCTATGTCCGCAGCGTCAGTATCCAAGGCCTATTAGACTATAGGTTCCTTGAGACAGAGTGCCACAGTGCTGGGGCTGTGTCCGCTGCGTCAGTGTCCAAGCCCTATTAGACTATAGGGTCCTTGAGACAGAGTGCCACAGTGCTGGGGCTGTGTCTGCTGTGTGCTGTTTGTGAGCTTGTCCAAGCCCTATTAGACTATAGGTTCCTTGAGACAGAGTGCCACACTCCTGGGGCTGTGTCCACTGCATCAGTGTCCAAGCCCTATTAGACTATAGGTTCCTTGAGACAGAGTGCCACAGTGCTGGGGCTGTGTCTGCTACGTGCTGTTGGTGAGCTTGTCCAAGCCCTATTAAACTATGGGTTCCTTGAGACAGACTGCCACAGTGCTGGTGCTGTGTCCGCTGCATGCTGTTGGTGAGCTTGTCCAAGCCCTATTAGACTATAGGTTCCTTGAGACAGAGTGCCACAGTGCTGGGGCTGTGTCTGCTGCGTGCTGTTGGTGAGCTTGTCCAAGCCCTATTAGACTATAGGTTCCTTGAGACAGAGTGCCACAGTCCTGGGGCTGTGTCCACTGCATCAGTGTCCAAGCCCTATTAGACTATAGGTTCCTTGAGACAGAGTGCCACAGTGCTGGGGCTGTGTCCACTGCATCAGTGTCCAAGCCCTATTAGACTATAGGTTCCTTGAGACAGAGTGCCACAGTGCTGGGGCTGTGTCTGCTGCGTGCTGTTGGTGAGCTTGTCCAAGCCCTATTAAACTATGGGTTCCTTGAGACAGACTGCCACAGTGCTGGGGCTGTGTCTGCTGCGTGCTGTTGGTGAGCTTGTCCAAGCCCTATTAGACTATGGGTTCCTTGAGACAGAGTGCCACAGTGCTGGGGCTGTGTCCGCTGCGTCAGTGCTCAGGTCTCCTTTGTCCAAATGAAATGTGTGCTGTGGTTTTAAAAATGATTCTCTGCTCTCGAACTCCTGACCTCAGGTGATCCACCCACCTCGGCCAGCCTGGCCAACATGGTGAAACCCCCTCTTTACTAAAATTACAAAAATTAGTCAGGTGTGGTGGCAGGTGCCTATAATCCCAGCTACTTGGGAGGCTGAGGCAGGAGAATTGCTTGAACTCAGGAGTCAGAGGTTACAGGGTTGCAGTGAGCCGAGATGGCGCCACTGCACTCCAGCCTGGGCAATAGAGGGAAACTGTTTCAAAAAAAAAAAAAAAAAAAGAATCTCTGGGCTGGGCGTGGTGGCTCACACTGTAATCCCAGCACTTTGGGAGGCTGAGGCCGGAGGATCACTTGAGGTCAGGAGTTCAAGACCAGCGTGGCCAACGTAGTGAAACCTCGTCTCTACTAAAAATACAAAAATTAGCCAGGCATGGTGGCGGGCGCCTGTAGTCCCAGCTACTCGGGAGGCTGAGGCAGGAGAATCACTTGAACCTGGGAGGCGGAGCTTGCAGTGAGCTGAGATCACGCCACTGCACTCCAGCCTGGGTGACAGGGCAAGACTCCATCTCAAAAACAAAAAATGAAAAATAAAATAAAAATTAATCTCTGTGTTATCTAGTAGAGCTGTGATTCGGGAAGAGTAAGACCACCCAATTACCTTTCACGTAAGCAGATGGTATTAGGTCAGAGAAGCCTCACAACGCAACAGAGTCAGGAGGCAGTCAGCTGACTGGGCAAGTATGTTAGAGGGGGAATTATAGAAAATGATGTATTCATAAAGGTGTTATCTGAAATTAAATAATACAAATGTATTTTTATTCATTGATCTTACGAACCACAAAGGGCCAAGGCTCTCTCTTTGAGTTTTCAATTCAATTAATTTGACTTCCACGAACCACATTCGTATTAACAGTTCAGTTTTTGCTTTGAATTTCTTCAAAGAGATTTAAGAGCTTAAAAAAACACTTTACAACCAACTGGGTATAGACTTTTTCTAGATTCTTACAGTATTTTCCACTCTATAATTCCTCATTCACACAAAATTCAACATCGTTAAAAAAAATTTTTTTTTTTGAGACAGGGTCTCACTCTGTCACCCAGGCTGAAGTGCAGTGGCGCTATCTTGGCTCACTGCAACCTCTGCCTCCCAGGCTCAAGTGATCCTCCCACTTCAGCCTCCCACGTAGCTGGGGCAACAGGTGCGCACCACCATGCCTGGCTAATAGTTTATATTTTTTTGTAGAGATGGGGTTTCACCATTTTGCCCAGGCTGCTCTCAAACTCCTGAGCTCAGGCGATCCACCTGCCTTGGCCTCCCAAAGTGCTGGGATTACAGGTGTGAGCCATGGTACCCGTCCAAAAAATCCTCATTTTTTATCACATCTTTTCAAAGCATTGAGTTGAGTTTTTATAAAAACATTAACTCTCTTTACAAAATCATTTCATTGGCTTATACAGTATTTTATGTTTTTATTTAAAATAACAAGGGGCAGAAACCAATTTAGGAGGAAACACAGCTGACCTATTAAGAACTATGCAGCTGATTCTTTTTGGAGCAAAAGTGCACAAACTAGACCACAGCCTCCACTAACCACGAGCCCTCAGCGTGCTGTGGGCGTCAGGCAGAACTTCTTATGCAGGTGACCCAGAGCATTGCTGAACCTGGCCAGGTGGTAAGGCAGTGGCTCCCAAACTTAGCTACACATTAGACTCACCTGGAGGGCTTTTAAACGCATCCCAGAGTGCGTGCTGCCCTCCAGCCCAATTAAATTAGAAAGGCTGGGAGTGGGAACCAGACGTCAATATTTCTTGAAAGATTCCAGGGTGATTCCAACGGGCAGCAAAGTTTGGGAGGAACTACGACGGTGCGGGAAGGCGAGTTAAAAGAGCTTCTGCATGCTTTCTGGTTAGCTTCGGATTTTCATCTTAGATTTAGCATTAATTTTCTATGAGATCTTGGGTGATTTATTTAACTTCTATGAGCCTCAGTTTCCTTATATGTAAAATGGGGCTAATTTCTGCATTGTGGGATATTATAGGAATTAAGTGATATTAGGAGAATTTAGGATTTCCTGCTACCTTCCAGGTGCTTAATAAAGTGTGGCTCAGGCGTAGGAGACGTTATTATATTGTTTCCTGTGGGTAGAATAAGGCATGTGGGTAATTTGGTTTGGTCAAAGTCTAGACTTAAAATATTGCATATTAGAATATAACTAAAGGATTACTCAAGGCAGACTGAGTTGTGTTCCTTTAACCCTGCAGTCTTGACCTCAAAATCTGGAAAGTCAGTGAGGAACCTGCTTCTTACCTGCTATTAATTATCACCTATTGTGTTCATTTGCTGTGTAACTACACTTTCTCCCCAGCCGCCGGAAGTGATGGAAATTCTTGATAATAGCAAGTGGCCTGTGCTGACTCACCTTGTACTATTTCAAGTTAAGCACCATGTGTGAAATTCACAATTCTGTGCCTACGGCAACTCCAATAGGCACGGAGCAGAGAGTAGATTTTCCATTGTCTAAATGTGACTCTTACTTTGAGTCACGCAGGTATAATTATAGGTATTTTATATTATCATCCTCAGCACAGTCTAAACTGTGCCTTTTGTTCTTGTGTTCTGTTTTACTACATGTACATTATCCATTTTATTCCATTACATCAAATGGACTGTTAGAGTCAGAATTGGTCTCTGTCTTTGCCCTTTAATCTGTGGTGCATGTGGAATATCTGAGCTTCTCCTGTCTATATAATTAGGCTGCAAAACAGATGATATTTTGCTTTAAAAATAACTATTTCCATAGCACGCTGCTGTGACCCAAGCTTGCAGGGTACAAAATAGCATAAAACAGAAGTGACACATTATATCTTCCCCTTAAAGGGGTTTTACTGGGAATAGTTGAAGAGAAACAAAATATAACATCCTTAATGTAAAAAGTTCTTTGCCATAGACGTGCCAGTAGCTGGAGAGCTGGAATTGCAATGCTTTCTTTAAGTATTTCTCACCTTTTTTTCTCAGTACTAGATATGGAATTTGAGGATAGGAAGGGGTGGAGGCAGATTAGCCTTAGGACAGTGGTTGCCGAATATTTTCATCCTACAGCATGAGCAGTGCTGCATCAGCCTTGTCCTTCGGGCTCTTCTGCAGACGCGTGGATGCCTAGATCCCTCCCACGCACCCCGAGTGCCACCTGCAATGGTCCAGACACACGCGGGTCCCACACGCTCTGCTCGCTTTTTGTACCAACACCTTTCAATCTTGCCCCAAATTACTTGGCCTCCACAACAGCTTTGGGAAGTTTCCATCTCTGCCTTTGCCATTTTCCTTCTGTGCAGAGTAGGGAAAGGCAGAGGGAAGAGTTGCTGTCCTGGCAGTAACAGGAGGCAGGCCAGGTATGAGGCTGTAAGCTGGGCCGCCTGGAAAGATAGGGATCCAGAGGCCTGGAGGAGCAGCATTCCGCTGCTGCCTGGGATTGAGGCGGGGGGAAGGGAGACAGCCAAGGAGTGGGTGATGTACCCAGAGACACGCCTCTCTGGAAGAGTGGGGCCTGGGGCAAAAAGGCGGCCTTCTCCGGCTGCTTCGTGGAGCTGATGGAGGCCGCAGGATGTAGTTGAGAGCTCAGGTCTTGCAGTCAGTCTGTGGTTTGAATCCTAGCTCTACTACTGGCTGCAGGATCGTGAGCAAGTTTTTTTTTTTTTTTTTTTTTTTTTTGTTGTTTTTTAACAACTTTAATGAGATATACCTGAGCTACAATAAACTGTACATATTAAATCATATAACTTGATGTTTTATCATATGTATATGCCTATGAAACCGTCCTCAATCAAGATAATGAATATATTCTTCACCCCCAAAAGTTTCCTCGGGAGCCTTGCAATCCCTGCCTCCAGCTCCTCTTCCTTCCTGTCTCCAGACCCAGGAACCACTGAACTACTTTCAGTTTCTAGACATTAGTGTGGATTTCCTAGAATTTTATGTAAAAGGAAACATATCTTGCAGACGGTACTCTCGTGTGTGGCTTCTTTCACTTAGCATAATGATTTTGAGATGTAATCATTTCATTGCCTGTATCAATAGTTCATATATTTATATTTCTGCATAATAGTCCACTGCCCAGATATACCACAGTTGGCCGATCCATTCATCTCTTGATGGACATTTCTGTTGTTTCCAGTTTGGGGATATTACAAATAAAAGTACTAAAGGTTGAGCATCCCTAATCTGAAAATTCGAAATCCGAGATGCTCCAAATCTGAAACTTTGTGAGCGCCAAATGACATCACAAGTAGAAAATTCTACATCTGACCGCATGTGACAGGTCACAGGAAAAACTTTTTGTGTACAAAATTATCAAAAATATTGTCTAAGATTATCTTCAGGCTGTGTATATAAGGTATATATGAAACATAAATGAATTTAATGTTTACGTTGGGTCCTATTTCCAAGATATGTCATTAGATATATGCAAATACTCCAAAATCTCTGGTTCCAAGCATTTCAGATAAGGGATATTCAGCTTGTGTGAGCATACATGCACAAGTCTTTGTATGGTTATATGGTTTGGCTCTGTCCTCGCCCAAATTTCATGTTGAATTGTAATTCCCAGTGTTGGGGGAGGGACCTGGTGGGAGGTGATTACATCATGAGGATGGATGTCCCCCATGCTGTTCTCATCATAGTGAGTTATGAGATCCGGTGGTTTAAGAGTGTGTGGTACTCTCCCCCCTGCTCACTCGCTCTCTCTCCTGCTCTGCCATGGGAAGATGTGTCTTCCTTCACTGTGAGTCAATGAAACCTATTTTCCTCATAAATTACCCAGTCTCAGGTAGTTATTTATAGCAGTATGAAAACAGTCTAATATATATATGGACATATATTTTCTTTCCTTTGGGGTAAAAACCTATACTAGAACTGGAATCTTATCAATGTCTGGGAATATTTGAAAAAAAAAAAAAGAAAAACTGGAATGGCTGTACCATATAGTAGATGTTTAACTTTTTAAGAAATTTCTCAGCTGTTTCCCAAAGTGCTTGTACTATTTTATATGGGGAGTTCCCGTTCCTCCATACCCCCACCAGCATTTGGTGTGGTCAGTCTTTTAAGTTTTGCCTGTTTACATAGTAGGTTTGTAATAGTGTCTTGTGGTTTTAGTTTGCACTTCGCTAATGACCAATGATGCCAAGCATCCTTCTACACGCCCATTCGGCATCCATACCTCTTCTTTGGTGAAATGTCCCTTCAAATCTTCTGTCCTTTTAAAAATTGTTTTGAAAGTTTTTAATATATTCTGGATGCAAATCCTTTATAAGATATAGTATTTGCAAATATTTTCTCTCAGTCTGTGGCTTCTCTCTTCATTCTCAACAGCATCTTTTGAAAAACAAATACTTGTTTTTTTATGAAGTCCAATTTATATGTTCTTTTATGAATCATGTTTTTGCTGTCACATCTAAGAAATCTTTGCCTAACCCAAGGCCAAAAAGGTTTCTTCTTATGCCTCCTCTAGAAGTTTTGTAATTTTAGGCTTCAAATTTAGGTCTTTGATCAATTTTTAGTTAATTTTTGTATATTTTGCAATGTATGGACTCAAGTAGTTTTTTTCAGGTTGAGGGAGGTTAGGTGTTTTTTTGTGTGTGTGTATGAATATAGTATCCAAAATTTCCAGTATCATTTGTTGTAAAAAGCTATTATTTCTCTACTAAATTACCTTTGTCAAGGATTAGTTGGCCATATTTATGTGCAACTATTTCTAGACTCTGTTCTGTTCCATTGATCTATTTGTCTATCTTTACACCAATACCACACTGTTTTGATTATGGTGGATGTATAATAGGTCTTGAAATTAGGTAATGTTAACCTTCCAACTTTGTTCTTATTTTTTAAAGTTGTTTTGGCTATTCAGTGTATTTGGCATTTCCATACAAATTTTAGAGTCGCTTTCTAAATGGATTACGTAGAAAAAATTTCTATCAAAGAAGTCTACCAGGATTCTGATTGGGATTGCATTGAAGCTATAGCAACTTGGAGATGATTGACCTCTTCACAGTATTGAGTGTTCTGACCCAGGAGCACAGTATCTCTCTCTAGTTTAGGTTTTTATTAGTTCCCTTCAGTAATTTTTTAAAGTAGGAAAAAGCTATTATTTAAACATGTATTTCTTTTATATTGATATATAATTACACATATTTATGGGTGATATTTTGATGCACGCATACAATGTGTGATGATCAATCAGGGAATTTAGGAGATTCATCACCTCAGTTATCACTTATTTGTGTTGGGAACATTTCATTATTTTCTTCTAGCTATTTGAAAATATACAATAAATTATTGTTAACTATAGCCTCCTACTGTGCTATCAAACACTACGGCTTCCTCCTTTTATTTAACTGTGTATTTGTAACTGTTAACCCACCTGTTTTATCCCCCTCCCCCGGCACCCCACATCCCGCCCCTTCCCACACACACACATTCTTCCCAGCCTCTGGTATCTACCATTCTCCTCTCTACCTGCATGAGATCAACTTTTTAAGCTCCCACATATGAGTGAGAACATGCAATATTTGTCTTTCTGTGCCTGGCTTATTTGACTTAACATAATGACATCCAGTTCCATCCATTTTGCTACAAATGACAGGATTTGAGTTTTTGTATAACTACTAGTATTCCATTGTGTATATAGAGCACATTTTGCTACAAATGACAGGATTTGAGTTTTTGTATAACTGCTAGTATTCCATTGTGTATACAGAGCACATTTTCTTGGTCCCGTTCCATTCATCCATCCATTGTTGGACACTTAGGTTGATTCTGTATCTTGGCTGTTGCGAATAGAGCTGTGATAAATATAGGGGTACAGGTATCCCTTTGATATACTGATTTCTGTTCCTTTGGACAAACACCCAGTAGTGGGATTGCTAGATCATATGGTAGTTCTCGTTTTAGTTTTTTTTTGAGAAGCATCTATACTGTTTTCTATACTGGCTGTACTAATTTACATTCCCACCAACAGTGTGTAAGAGTTCCCTTTACTATGCATCTTCACTAGATTTCATGGTGGGTTTTTTTTTTCTGTCTTTCTAATAATAGCCATTCTGACTGGGGTGAAATTATATCTCATTGTGGTTTTGATTTGCACATCCCTGATGATTAGGGACATTGAACATTTTTTCACATACCTGGTTGCCATGTGTATGACTTCTTTTGAGAAATGTCTATTCAGATCCTTTGCCCAATTTTTAATGGGTTTGTTTGGGTTTTTTGCTGTTTTGAGTTCCCTGGATATTAATTCCTTGTTGAATGAACAGCTTGCAAATATTTTTTTTCCATTCTGCAGGTTGTCTCTTTGCTCTGTTGATTGTTTCCTTAGCTGTGCAGAACGTTTTTAGTTTAACATACTCCAATCTTTCTAATTTTGGTTTTCTTACTTGTGCTTTCAAAGTCTTAGCCATAAAATCTTTGCCTGGACCAATGTCCCAAAGCATTTCCCCTATGTTTTCATCTGGTAGAGTTATTGTTTTTGGTCTTAATATTTAAGCCTTTAATAAATTTTGAGTGGATTTTTATATATGGTAAGAGATAGCGGTCTAGTTTCACCCTTCTGCTTATGGATATCTAGTTTTCCCAGCACCATTTATTAAAGGGGATGTCCTTTCCCCAATGCATGTTCTTGGTGCCTTTGTCAAAAATGAGTTGGCTGTAAATAGATAGATTTATCTGTAGGTTCTCTATTGTGTCCCATTGGTCTATGTGTCTTTTTACGTCAATACCAGCCTGTTTTATGTTACAGTAGCTTCCTAGTAGTGTATTTTGAAGTCAGCTAGTGTGATGCCTCCAGCTTGTTTCTTTGTTTTCCAGTATTGCTTTGTGTGCAAGGTTTTTCTCTGTGTGTTTAAATTCCATGAAGAATGTCATGGATATTTCGACAGAGACTGCATTGAGTCTGTAGATTGCTTTGAGTAGGATGGTCATTTTAACAATGTTAACTTGAACTCAGGATTCAGAAACTCACTCAAAACCACACAACTACATGGAAATTGAACAACCTGCTCCTGAATGAGTCCTGGGTAAATAACAAAATTAAGGGAGAAATCAATGAGAACAAAAAGACGATGTACCAGAAGCTCTGGGACACCGCTAAAGCAGTGTTAGAGGGAAATTTATAGCACTAAACGCCCACATCAGAGAGCTGGAAAGATCTCAGATCGACACCTTAACATCACAATTAAAAGAACTAGAGAAGCAAGAGCAAACAAATCCAAAAGCTAGCAGAAGACAATAAATAAGATCAGAGCAGAACTGAAGGAGTTGGAGATGCGAAAAACCCTTCAAAATATCAATGAATCCAGGAGCCAGTTTTTTGAAAAAAAAAATTAAGGAAATAGACCACTTCACTAGACTAATAAAGAAGAAAAGGAGAAGAATCAAACAGACACAATAGAAAATGATAAAGGGGATATCACCCCTGATCCCACAGAAATACAAACTACCATCAGAGAATACTATAAACACCTCTGTGCAAATAAACTAGAAAATCTAGAAGAAATGGATAAATTCCTGGACACATACACCCTCCCAAGACTAAACCAGGAAGAAGTCAAATCCCTGAATAGACCAATAACGAGTTCTGAAATTGAGGCAGTAATTAATAGCCTACCAACCAAAAAAAGTCCAGGACCAGATGGATTCACAGCCGCATTCTACCAGAGGTACGACGAGGAGCTAGTACCATTCCTTCTGAAACTATTCCAAACAATAGAAAAAGAGGGAATCCTCCCTAACTCATTTTATGAGGCCAGCATCATCCTGATACCAAAACCTGGCAGAGACACAACAAGAAAAAGGAAACTTGGCCGGGCACGGTGGCTCACAGTGGCTCATGCCCATAACCCCAGCACTTAGGGGAGCCAAGCAGGTGGATCACTTGAGGTCAGGAGTTCGAGACCAGCCTGCCAACATGGCAAAACCCTGTCTCTACTAAAATTACAAAAATAGATGGGCATGGTGGCGGGTGCCTGTAATCCCAGCTAATCGGGAGGCTGAGGCAGGAGAATCACTTGAACCTGGGAGGCAGAGATTGCAGTTAGCCAAGATGAAGTCAGCTTCATCCCTGGTTCAACATGCAAATCAATAAACATAATCCATCACATAAACAGAACCAATGACAAAAACCACATGATTATCTCAATAGATGCAGAAAAGGCCTTCAATAAAATTCAACACCCTTCATGCCTCAATAAACTAGGTATTGATGGAACGTTTCTCAAAATAATAAGAGCTATTTATGACAAACCCATAGCCAATATCATAATGGGCAAAAGCTGGAAGCATTCCCTTTGAAAACCAGCACAAGACAAGGATGCCCTCTCTCAGCACTCCTATTCAACATAGTGTTAGAAGTTCTGGCCAGGGCAATCAGACAAGAGGAAGAAATAAAGCATATTCAAATAGGAAGAGAGGAAGTCAACTTGTCTCTGTTTGCAGTTGACCTGATTCTATATTTAGAAAACTATATCATTGGAGCCCAAAAACTTCTTGAACTGATAAGCAACTTCAGCAAATTCTCAGGATACAAAATCAATGCAAAAATCACAAGCATTCCTATACACCAACAACAGACAAACAGAGAGCCAAATCATGAATGAACTCCCATTCACCATCGCTACAAAGAGAATAAAATACCCAGGAATACCTTACAAGGAATGCGAAGGACCCCTTCAAGGAGAACTACAAACAACTGCTCAAGGAAATAAGAGAGGACACAAACAAATGGAAAAACATCTCATCCTCATGGATAGGAAGAATCAATATCGTGAAAATGGCCATACTGCCAAAATAATTTATAGATCCAGTGCTATTCCCATCAAACTACACTGACAGTCTTCACAGAATTAGAAAAAGCTACTTTAAATTTCATATGAAACCAAAAAAGAGCCCATATAGCAAAGACAATCCTAATCAAAAAGAACAAAGCTGGGAGGCATCACGCTACCTGACTTCAAACTATACTACAAGGCTACAGTAACCAAAACAACATGGTACTGGTACCAAAACAGACATATAGACCAATGGAACAGAACAGAGACCTCAGAAATAACACTACACATCTACAACAATCTGATCTTCGACAAACCTGACAAAAACAAGCAATGGAGAAAGAACTCCCTATTTAATAAATGGTACTGGGAAAAGCTAGCCGTATGCAGAAAACTAAAACTGGACCCCTTCCTTACACCTTATAAAAAAATTAACTCAAGATGGATTAAAGACTTAAATGTAAAACCCAAAACCATAAAAACCCTAGAAGAAAACCTAGGCACTACCAGCCAGGACATAGGCAGAGGCAAAGACTTCATGAAGAAAACACCAAAAGCAATTGCCAACAAAAGCCACAATTGACAAATGGGATCTAATTAAGTTAAAGAGCTCCTGCACAGCAAAAGAAACTAGCATCAGAGTGAACAGACAACCTACAAAACGGGAGAAAGTTTTTGCAATCTATCCATCTGACAAGGGTCTAATATCCAGAATCTACAAGGAACCTAAATTTACAAGAAAAACAAACATCAAAAAGTGGGCAAAGGATATGGAGAGACACTTCTCAAAAGAAGACATTTATGTGGCCAACAAACATGAAAGAAAGCTCAACATCACTGATCATTAGAGAAATGCAAATCAAAATGACAATGTGATACCATCTCATGCCAGTCAGAATGGTGATTATTAAAAAGTCAAGAAACAATAGATGGTGGCAAGGCTGTGGAGAAATAGAAACGCTTTCACATTGTTGGTGGGAATGTAAATTAGTTCAACTTCTGTGGAAGACAGTGTGGTGATTCTTCAAGGATCTAGAACCAGAAATACCATTTGACCCAGCAATCCCATTACTGGGTATATACCCAAAGGAATATAAATCATTCTACTACAAAGACACATGCACACATATATTTATTGCAGCACTATTTACAATAGCAGAGACATGGAACCAACCCAAATGTCCATCAATGATAGACTGCATGAAGAAAATGTAATACATATGCACCATGGAATACTATGCAGCCATAAAAAAGAATGAGATCATGTCCTTTGCAGGGACATGGATGAAGCTGGAAGCCGTCATCCTCAGCAAACTAACACAGGAACAGAAAACCAAACACCACACGTTGTCACTCATAAGCGGGAGTTGAACAATGAGAACACATGGACACAAGGAGGGGAACAACACACACCAGGGCCTGTCAGGGGGTTGAGGGAAAGGGGAGTGAGAGCATTAGGACAAATACCTAATGCATGTGGGGCTTAAAACCTAGATGACAGTTTGATGGGTACAGCAAGCCACCATAGTACATGGATAACTATATAACAAAACTGCAGGTTCTGCACATGTATCCCAGAACTTGAAGTAAATAAATAAATAAATAAATAATATTAACTCTTCTGATCCATGAGCATGGGATGTCTTTTCATTTTTTTCTATGTTCTTCAATTTTTTTATCAGTATTTTGAAGTTTTTGTTATAGAGGTATTTCACCTCCTTACATTTATTCCTAGGTATTTTTTAGTAGCTACAGTAGATGGGGTAGCTTTCTTGGTTTCTTTTTCAACTATTTGTTGCTGGTGTGTAGAAACACTACTGATTTTTGTATCCAGCCACATTACCAAATTTATCAGTTCTCAGAGTTTTTGGTGGAATCTTTAGGTTGTTCTAATTATTATATGCCATCTGCAGAGAGGAACAATTTGACTTTCGCTTTTCCAGTTTGGATGCCTTTTATTTCTTTCTCTTGCCTAATTGCTCTAGCTAGGACTTCCAGTACTATGTTGAATAACAGTGGTGGAAGTGGGCATCCTTGTCTTGTTCCAGTTCTTAGAAAAAAAAGGCTTTTAGCTTTTCCCCACTTATTATGATGTTAGCTGTGGGTTTGTCATATATGACCTTTGCTATGCTGAGGCATGTTTTTTCTATGCCTAACTTATTGAGAGTTTTTATCATGAAGGATGTTAGATTTTATCAAATATTTTTCCTGTGTCTATTGAGATGATCTTGTTGTTTTAGTCTCTCATATGTTGATGTGATGTGCACGTTTATTGATTTGCATACATCGAACCATCATTGCATCCCTAGGATAAATCCCACTTGATTATGGTGTATTATGTTATTGGTGTGTTGTTAGATTTGGTTCGCTAGTATTTTTTAGATGATTTTTGCATCTATGTTCATCAGGGATATTGGTATCTCATTTTGGTATTAGGATAATGGTGGCCTGGTTGCGTGAATTAGGAAGACTTCCCGCCTCTTCAATTTTTGGAATAGTTTGAGAAGAATTGGTTTTACTTTACTCCTTAATTCTACTGAACTTTTAAAGTCCTGGGCTTTTCTTTGTTGGGGAACTTTTTATTACTGATTAATTCTTGTTACTCATTATTTGTTCAGATTTTTTTATTCTTCCTGATTTAATCTTGTAAGGCTGTATGTGTCCAAGAGTTTATCCATTTCACCTGAGCTTTCCAATTTGTTCGTGTGTAGTTCTTCATAAGACTCTAATCATTTGTATTTCTGTGGTATTTTTTTCATTTCTCATTTTTTAAAATTTGGATCTTTTTTCTTGGTTAGTCTAACAGTTTAATCAATTTTGGTTCCTTTCAAAAATCAAGCTTTTATTTTCTTGATCCTTTGTAATTTTTGTGTGTGTGTGTGTTTATTTCGTCTCTGATCTTTATTCTTTCTTCTGATTTTTGGCTCAGTTTGCTTTGGCTTTTTTAGTTCCTTGAGATGCATCATTCGGTTGTCTATTTGAAATCTTTCTCCTTTTTTGAGGAAAACATTTATTACTCTAAACCCCTCTTACTACTGCTTTTGTTGTATCCCGTAGGTTTAGGAATGGTGTTTTTCCATTTTCATTTGTTTTAAGAAAAAAGATTTTATTTCATTCATTTAGGAGCATGTTTTCATGTAGGAGCATGGTTTTAAATTTTCATTTATTTGTACAGTTTCTAAAGTTCTTGTTATTGATTTCGTTTTACTGAATTGTGATCTAAGATGCTTGATATGATTTCAACTTTTAAAAATGTGTTGAGAGTTATTTTGTGGTCTAACACATGGTCTATCATGGAGAATATTCCATGTACTGATAATAAGGTTGTGTATTTTGCAGCACTTGAATGAAATGCTCTCTAAATATCTGTTCGATCCATTTGGTCTGTAGTGCGGATTAAGTTCAATGTTTCTTTATTGATTTTCTGTCTAGTTGATCTGTCCAGTGCTAAAGCGGAGTGGTGGACCAGGACCAGGCACATTGGCTCACACCTGTAATCCCAGCACTTTGGAAGGCCAAGGCGGGCCAATCACTTGAGCTCAGGAGTTTGAGACCAGCCTGGGCAACATGGTGAAACTCTGTCTCTAGAAAAAATACAAAAACTAGCTGGGTGTGGTGGCATGCACCTGTAGTGCCAGCTACTCCGGAGGCCAAGGTGGAAGGATCGTTTGAGCCTGGGAGATTGAGGCTGCAGTGAGCCAAGATCACACCACTGCTCTCCAGCCTGGGTGACAGAGTGAGACCCCATACCAAAAAATAATAAATAATAAAATGGAGTGGTGGAGGCCTCAACTATTACTGCATTGGGGTCAAGCTCTTTAGCTCTAATGATAATTGTTTTATATAATATATCTGGGTACTCCAGTGTTGACTGCATATATATTTACAATTGTTATAGTCTCCTGCTGAATTGTTCCCTTTATCATTATATTAATATAATGACCTTATTTGTCACTTTTTATGTTTTTTGGCTAACATTGTATTTTGTCTTATGTAAGTATAGCTACTCTGGCACACTTTTGGTTTCTATTTTCATGGAATAATTTTTTCCATCCCTTCATTTTCATTCTATGTGCATCTTTACAAATGAAATGCATTTGTTGGAGACAGCATACAGTTGGGTCTTTTTTTTTTTTTTAAATAAATCCATTCATCTTGTCTATATTTTTTACTTAAGGAATTTAAACTGTTTACATTCAAGGATGTCATTGATAGGTAAGGACTTACTTCTGTGATTTTGTAAACTGTTTTATGATGGTTTTGTATATTTTTTGTTCCTTTCTTCCTCTTGTATTGCTTACCTTGATGATTTGGTAGTTTATTGTAGTGATGTTTGACTCCTTTCTCTTTCTCATTCGTGTATCTGCTCTCCCAGTGAGTTTTTCAGTCTTGCGTATTCTCACGGTGGTAGTTATTGTCCTTTTGCTTCCAGATGTAGAACTCCCTCAAGCATTTCTCACAGGGCCTGTCTAGTGGTGGTGAATTCCCTCCATTTTTTCTTGTTTGGGAAAGACTTTACTTTTCATTCATTTTTTAAGGATAGCTTTCAGCAATATTTCATCTTTTTTTAAGGATAGCTTTCAGCAATATTTTATGGTTTTTATGTACACATTTTAATCATATCTCTAAATCATGTGTTTGATGTTGTTGTAAATGGTATTTTTAATTTTTTTTGAGTTGGGGTGACAGAGTGACACCCAGGCTGGATTGTAGAGGCACAGTCATAGCTCACTGCAGCCTCAAATTTGTAGTGTTCCTGCCACCTCAGCCTCCTGAGTAGCTAGGATTATAGGCACATGACATCATACCCAGCTAATTTCTTTTTGTATCATTTTTCTGTAGAGATGGGGTCTCACTATGTTGACCAGGCTGGTCTTGAACTCCTGGCCTTAAGTGATCCTTCTGCCTTGGCCTCCCAAAATGCTGGGATTACCGGTGCGAGGCACCACACCCAGCCTTATGTTTTAATTTCTAATTGTTTGTTACTATGATAAAGAAATGCATTGATTTTTGTCCATTGACCTCATATCCTGCAACCTTCCTAAACTCACCTATTAGTTCTAGTACCTTTTTTGTGGATTGCATCCATTAGATTTTTCTATAGGTGACTATATCACCAATGAAGATCATTTGACTTTCTTTCCAATCTGGATATCGTTCATTTATTGTACTTGCCTTATTGTACTGGCCAGGACTTCCAGTATAATGTTAAATGGAAACGGTGAGAGTGGACATGCTTGTCTTGCTCCCAATCTTAGAGGGAAGGCATTTAGTCTTTTACCATTAAGTATGATGTTAGCTTTAGTTTTTAGTAGATACCTTTTATTAAATTGAGGATATTGCCTTCTACTTATATATTGCTGAGGATTTTTTATCAGGAATGACTGAATTTTGGTAAATGCTTTTTCTGCATCTACTGAAACAATCATATAGTTTTCCTTTCAGTTTGTTAATATGGTAAATTATATTGATTAGGTTTTTTTTGTTAATCAACCTTGCATTCCTGAAATAAACCTCACTTGCTCATGGTATAAAACCCTTTGTATTTGTTGCTAGATACAATATTTTTTTGAGTTGGGGTCTCACTCTGTCACCCAGGCTGGAGTGTAGTGGCATGATCACAGCTCACTGCAATTTTAAACTCCTGTGCTCCAGCAATCCTTCCTTCCATCTCAGCCTCCCAACTAGCTAGGATTACAGTGTGCACCACTGTGCCCAGCTAATTTTTTATACTTTTTTTGTAGTGATGAGGTCTTGCTATGTTGCCCTGGCTGGTCTTGAACTTCGGGCCTGAAGCACCTCAGCCTCCCATAATACTGAGATTGTAGGAGTAAGCCACCATGCCTAGCCCTAGATACAATTTTCTAATATGGCTCTTTAATATTTTATTTAGAATTTTTTTGGCAATGTTCATGAGGGATATTGTTCTGCAGGTTTTTGTGTTTTTTTTTTTTTTTCAAACAACATACTTGTTTGCTTTTGGTATCAGATTAGTATAGTATAGCTTGGGAAGTATTTCTTCCTATTTTCAGGAAGACTTTGAGTAGAACTGTTATTATTTCTTCCTTAAATGGTGGGTAGAATTCACCAGTGCCTCCATCTGGTCCTAGAGTTTTACCTGTGGAAAGGTTGTGAACTACAGATTCTATTTCTTTAATGAATCTAGGGCCATTTTTATTATCTATTACCTCTTGAAAGAGCTTTGGAATTTTTCATCTTTCAAGACATTTTTCCATTCTTACACATTGTTTAATTTACTGGCATAATGTTTCTTTATTATCTTTTTGATATCTGTAGGAACTTTAGATGAGGCCATCTCATTCCTGATATTGATCATTTGTGTCTTTCTTTTTCCCAGATCATTTGTGCTAGGGATTTACAAATTTTGTTGATCTTCTCAAAGAACCAACTTTTGATTCATCGACTTTTCTCCATTGTTTTTGGTTTTCTGTTTCGTTGATTTCTGCTATTTTTTTTCCTTTCTGCTATTTTTTTTTCCTTTCTGCTATTATTTTGTCTATAATTTGCTCATCTTTTTCTAATTTCTTAAGGTGTAAGCTGAGATCATTGATTTGAAGCCATGGTTGCTTTCTGATATAGGCATTTAATGCTATACGTTTGTTTTAAGTACATCTTCAGGGTTATTCACAAATTTGGATGGGTTGCATTTTCATTTCTATTCACTTAAAAAGACTTTAAAATTTTCATTTTGAATTTTTCCTTGACCATAGGCTGTTTGGGGCCAAGTTGTGGAGTTTCAGAATATTTGGAGGTTTTTCAGATATTGTTCTACATTGACTTCTAATTTAATTCCATTGTATCAGGCAACATGCTTTGAGTGACATGAATCCTTAACATTTATTTAGACTTGTTCTGTGGACCAGAATACTGTGTATCTTGGTAAATGCTTTGTGTGCACTTCAAAAGAATGTGTATTCTGCTATTGTTGGGTTGAATGTTCTGTGTCAAGTAGATATTTGATAGTATTGTTCAAATTTATATCCTTATGGTTTTCTGTCTACTTGTCATATCAGTTTTGAGATGGGGGTATTTGAAATTGCCAACTATAATTAAAGACTTGTCTGTTTCTTCATGCAGTTCTACCAGATTGTTCTTCATGGATTAGAACATGAGCCACATAAATTTTTTTATTATGACCTCTTGATGAATTATCTCATTTCTCATTATAGAACGTTTTTTTTTTTGACTCTAACAACATTTTTCATCTTCAGTCTTTTTTGGCATTTTTAAATTGTGTGTCATAGTTGTACATATTTTTGGAGTACACATGATATTTTGATGCATGTATACAATGTGTAGTGATCAAATTAGGAAAATTGGGATATTCATCACCTCAAACATTTATCTTTGCTTTGTGTTGGGAATGTTTATTATTAACTATAGTTCTTCTACTGTACTATTGAATACTAAAACTCATTCCTTTTATCTAACTGTATGTTTGTACCTGCTAACCAATTTCTCTTTATCCTACCCTCTGCCCTTCCCTTCCCAGCCTCTGGTAGCCACTCTTCTACTCTCTATCTCCATGAGATCCACTGTTGTAGCTCCCACATATGAGTGACAACATGGGATATTTGTCTTTCCATACCTGACTTATTTCATTTAACATAATGACTTCCAGCTTCATCCATGTTGCTTAAAATGACAGGATTTCATTATTTTTATGGCTGAATAATATTCCATTGTGTGTGTGTGTGTGTGTGTGTATCTATCTCACATTTTCTTTATTAATTTACCCATTGATGGACACTTAGACTGATTCTATATTTTGGCTATTGTGAATAGTGCTACAATAAACATGGTAGTGCAGATACCTCTTTGATATACTGATTTCTTTTACTTTGGATATATACTCAGCAGTGGGATTGCTGGATCATACAGTAGTTCTACTTTTAAGTTTTTTGAGAAACCTCCAGAATGTTTTCCATGATGGCTGTACTAATTTACATTCCCACCAAGTGTATGAGCATTCACCATTTCCTGCATCCTCTCCAGCATTTGTTTTTTGTCTTTTTGATAATAGCCATTGTAACTGAGGTGAGATGATAGCTCGTTATGGTTTTGATTTGCACTTTCCTGATGATTAGTGATGTTGAACATCTTTTCACATACCTCTTGGCCACTTGTGTGTCTTCTTCTGATAAATGTCTATTCAGGTCTTTTGCTCATTTTAAATTGGATTATCTGGGGGGTTTTGGCCCATTGAGTTGTTTGAATTCCTCATATATTCTGGTTATTAATCCCTTGTCAAATAATTTGCAAATATTTTCTCCCATTCCATATGTAGGTTATCTTTTCACTTTGTTGTTTCCTGTTCTGTGTAGAAGCTTTTTAGCTTGATGTAATCCCACTTGTCTATTTTTGCTTTTATTGCCTATGTTTTTGAGGTCTTACCCCAAAAATATTCGCCAATGTCCTGTAGTATCTCCCCAGTGTTTTCTCCCAGCAGTTTCATAGTTTCAGGTTTAAATTTAAGTCCATTTTGAGTTGATTTTCATAATGTGATAAAAAATGAAGCTCTAGTTTCATTCTTCTGCATATGAATATCCAGTTTTCCCAGCACCATTTATTAAAGAGATTGTCTTTTCCCCAATGTATGTTATTGGTGCCTTTGTCAAAAATGAGTTGGCTGTAAGTGCATAGATTTATTTCTGGGTTTTCTATTGTATTCCATTGGTCTTCTATGTGTCTGTTTTTATGCCAGTGGTATACTCTTTGCTTACTATAGCTTGTAGTATAATTTGAAATCAGATAGTATGATGTTTCCAGCCTGGTTATTTTTGGTCAGTATTGATTTATCTACTACGGGTTTTTTGTGATTCTATAAGAATTTTAAGATTTCTTTTTTCTATTTCTGTGAAGAATGTCATGAGTATTTTGATAGGGATTGCAGTGAATCTGTAGATTGCTTTGGGTAGTATAGACATTTTAATAATATTAATTCTTCTTTGAGCATGGGATATTTTTCCATTTATGTGCTCTTCAATATCTTTCATTGGTGTTTTATAATTTTTCTTGTAGAGATCTTTCACTTCTTTGGTTGAATTTTTACTAGGTATGTTTTTGTAGCTGTTGTGATTGCTTTCTTGATTTCCTTTCAGATTGATCACAGATAGCATATAGAAATGTTACACATTTTGCGTGTTTATTTTATATCCTGCAACTTTATTAAACTCATTTATCAGTTCTAAAAGTTTTTTGGTGGAATCTTTAGATTTTTCTAAATATAAGATCATGTCATCTACAAACAAGAATAATTTGACTTCTTCCTTTCTAATTTGGATGCCCTTTATTTCTTTCTCTTGCCCTATTGTGCTGGCTAGGAATTCTAGTACTATACTGAATAATTACAGTTTATAGTTCACCACTGAGCATCCTTTTCTTATTCCAGATCTTAGTGAAAGGTTTTCTATTTTAACCTATTCAGTATGACATAAGCTGTGAGTGTGTAATATATGACACTTATCTTGTTGAGGTATGTTCCTTCTATAAATTTGTTGAGGATTTTCATCACGAAGGGATATTGAATTTTACTGACTACCTTTCCAGCATCTATTGAAGTAATTCATATATTTTCCTTGATTCTGTTGATGTGTGATGTATTAAACTTATTTGACTTACATATGTTGAACTATCCTTGCATCACTGGGATGAATCCTACTTGATTATGGTGAATGGTCTTTTTAATATATTGCTGTCTTCTGTTTATTGGTATTTTGTTGAGGATTTTTCCCTCTTTTTATCAGAAATATTGTCCTGTAGTTTTCTTTTGTTATCTTTGGCTTTGGAAATAAGGTCAGGGTGGCCTTGTAGAATGAGTTTGGAAGTATTTCCTCCTCTTCAATTGTTAAAAATAGTTTGAGTAGAATTGGTATTAGTTATTCTTTAAATGTTTGGTAGATTTCAGCAGTAAATCCATCAGTTCCCTGGCTTCTCTTTGATGGGAGACTTTTTATTACTGTTCCAATCTATTACTTGTTATTGGCCTATTCAGGTTTTTATTTCTTCACAGTTGAGTTTTGGTAGGTTATATGTTTCCAGGAATTTTTCCATTTTTTCCTAGATTTTCCAATTTATTGGCATATAGTTATTCATAATGGTCGCTAATGATCCTTTGTGTATCTGTAGTATCAGTTGTAATGTCATCTTTTTCATCTCTGATTTTATTTAGTTGGGTCTTCTGTTTTTTCTTAGTCTAACTGAAGGTTTTAAAATTTTGTTGCTTTTCAAAAAAACAAACTTTTTATTTTGTTGGGGTTTTTTGTATTGTTATTTTAGTCTCAATTTCATTTATTTCTGCTCCATCTTTACTCATTTTTTTCCTACTAATTTTAGGTTTGGTTTGTTTTTCCTTTTCTAGTTCATTGAGGTGCAACATTAGGTTGTTTATATTTGGAGTCTATATTTTTAATGTAGGTATTTATTGCTATAGAACTTTCCATTAGTGCTACTTTTTCTGTATCCCGTGGGTTCTGGCATATTGTATTTCCATTTTCATTTGTTTCAAGAACTTTTTAAACTTCATTCTTAATTTCTTCATTGACCCATTGATCATCCAGGAGCATGTTATTCAATTTCCATATATTTGAATAGTTTCCAACATTTCTTGTTATTTATAGTTTTATTCTGTTGTGGTTAGAAAAGATACTTGATATGATTTTGACTTTTTAAAACTTGTTGAGACATGTTTTGTGGCCTATCATATGGTCTGTCCTGGAGAATGTTCCATGTACTGATGAGAAGAATGTGTATTTTGTAGCAGTTGGATCAAATGTTCTGTGAATATCTGTTAGGTCCCTTTGGTCTAGAGTATAGTTTAATTCTGAGGTTTCTTTGTTGATTTTTCTGCCTGAATGATCCACCTATTGCCAAAAGTGAGGTGTTGAAGTCCCTTACTGTTATTGTATTGTAGTCTACCTCTCCTGTTTAGATCTACTAATATTTGCTCTCTCTCTCTCTCTCTCTCTATATATATATATATATACCCTGCTATTTGGTTATATATATTCATAATTGTTATATCCTCTTTCAGAATTGACTCCTTGCTGAATTATTATATAACAATTTCCTTTGTTTCTTTATATAGTTTTTCACTTAAAGTCTATTTTATCTGATCGAAGTATAGCTAGTCTTGATCATTTTTGGTTTCCATTTGTATGGAATGCTTTTGGTTTCCATTTGCATGGAATGCTTTTCCCATCCCTTCACTGTTAGTCTATGTGTGTCTCTATAGGTGAAGTTAGTTTATTGTAGGCAACATATACTTGGGTCTTACTTATTAATCCATTCAGCCACTCCATGTCTTTTATTTGGAGAATTTAGTCCATATACATTCCATGTTATTATTGATAGGTAAGGCCTTCCTACTGCCATTTTATTACTTATTTTCTAGTTGTTATATAGTGTACCTCCTTACTTCCTTTCTTATTTTTGTGGTTAAGTGATTTTCTTTGATAGCATGTTTTAATTTGCTGCTTTTATTTTTTGTTTATCAATTATAGATTTTTGCTTTAGGTTACCATGAAGCTTACAAAAACATCCTGTAATTATAACAAGTTATTTAAAAGTGATACCAATTTAACTTTTCATTGTAGCAGAAGAAAAGAAACAAAAAGAAAAAAACACATGCATTTTAATTCCCTTCTGTTCCTACATTTTAAATTTTTGATGTCACAAGATCAAAATTTGCCTACCTCAAAAATTTTATAGTTGTTATTTTTAATAGTTTTGTCTTTTAATCTTCTTAATAAAATTTTAAATGGTTTAGATGCCATGATTACAATATAACAATCACATTAGCATTATTTTTCCTATGCTTTTAAGAACTTCTTTAGCATTTATCATAGGCTAGGTCTGGTAGTGATACGTTTTCTCTGGAAAACTCATCTCTCCTTCATTTCTGAGGAATAACTGCTTGGTGCAGTATCCTTGGGGAACATTTTTTTTTTCCTTCAGCACTTTGAATAATATCATCTCACTCCCTCCTGACCTGTAAAATTTCTGCTGAGAAGTCTGCTGCCAGGTGTATTTGATGTCCGTTGTATGTTATTTGCTTTTTTCTTGCTCTCTCACTGTTTTTAGGACCCTCTTTGCCTTTGACCTTTGTGAGTTTAATTATAATATGTCTTGGGGTCTTCTCACTTGGGTTGAATCTGATCGGTGACTTTTGACCTTTGTGTACCTGAATATTTATATTTTTCTCCAGGTTTGGAAAGTTCTGTGTTATTTCTTTGAATAAGCTTGCAACTTCTTGTCTTTCTCAGTTCTCTCTTTAATTCCACTAACCCAAATATTTGCTCTTTTGATGTTGGTCCATAGGTCCCATAAGCTTTGTTCATTCCTTCTTATTCTTTTTTTTCTCTTCTGACTGTCTATTTTCAAATAGTCTTGTCTTTGAGCTCACTGATCCTTTCTTCTTTTTGATCAATTCCTCTGATACGCTCTATTGCATTTTTCATTTCATTTATTGAATTTTTTACCTCCAGGATTTCTGTTTAATTTTATTTTTTAAATCTTTTCTGTGAACTTTCTCTGAGAGATTTCTGTGAGCTTTCTTGAAGTTCACTGAGCTTCCTTAAAACTGCTATTTTGAATTATTTGTCTGAGAGATCACATATTTTCATCACTTTAGGGCCAGTCTTGGTGCCTTACTTTGTCCCTTTGACATCATATTTCCCTGAATGTTCTTGACGCTTGAAGTATGATGATATCTACACATTGAGAGATTAAATATTTTAGTCTTCCTAGTCTGGCTTTGTTTGTGCCTGTACTTCTTCAGAGGGTCTTCCAGAGATTCTAAGCCAACTGACTATTGTGTTCCCTGTGATCACCACAGTAATCTCAGCATTAGAGGATACTCTATTCCCTGGCTTGCTGTGAGTCTCACAATGGCTTTCTGGCCCAAACGGACCTGGGGAAGACCCAATGACGGTACTTGTGTTATGTGGGAACACTGGCCACCAGGGACCTGAGTCCTGAAGACTGTCCTAGTTTCCCAGACAAGTCTACTTCCCAGCAGGTCTCTGCACAGGTAGGTTGTGTCCCCAACTATAGCAAGAGGGGCAGAAGTTGAGACTGGACCCCTTCAGAATCTGCTGTGGGAAGGAGGCTGATGGGCCTTTCTCATTGGCTGAGACAGGCATGTGTTACTCAGCAAGTCTCTGCACAAGTGGAGTAGTTTCTTGCCCATAACAGGAGGAGCTAAAGCCAAGACTGGGCCTCCTCAGGGTCTGCTATAAGATGGAGGGTGGCCGGGTGCCTGTAGTCCTAGCTACTCGGGAGGCTGAGGCAGGAGAATGGCATGAACCCAGGAGGCAGAGTTTTCAGTGAGCCGTGATTGCAACACTGCACTCCAGCCTGGGGGACAGAGCGAGACTCCGTCTCAGAAAAAAAAAAAAAAAAAAAAAAAAAAATGGAGGCTGGCATACCTGCCACATTGGCTCAAATGGGCATGCATCTTCTAGTAAGTCCCTGCATAGACAGGATAGTTCCCCAACTATCAGCAGGAGGAGCTGGAGCAGAATCTGGGCCCTCATAAGATCTGCTGTGAGACAGATACTGAAGGGGTCAGTCTCAGCTCAGAGGGGTGTGTGTCACCCAGCAAGTTCCTGTAGAGATAGAATAGTTATCTGATTACAGAGAGAGGGTCTGGAGCTGTGACTGGGCCCTCTTGGGATCTGCTGTGGAATAGAAGCTGGAGAGCCCAGTCTTGTATCAGAAGGCATGTCTTTCCCAGGAGGACACTGCATCAATAGGATAGTTCCACGACTGCAGCAGGAGGTGCTGTACATGCCTCTCTGCGGGTCTTAGCACAAATGGGATAGGTCTTTGACTGTCTTCAGTCTCTTTTGTCTAATATTGGTAGATCCACTCCAGCTCTTATGGTTACTGTTTGCCTTATCCACACTTACACGTTTAAATGATTGTTTATTTCTATTTGAAGTGTATTTCTCAAGCATATAGTAGAGCCTCACTTTTTTATCCAATCTGACGATTTTTGCCTTTTAATAAGGGTATTTTAGACTATTTCAATTTCATATGATTATTGATATGGTTTGGTTCAAAATATTATTTTCTGTTTTCTATTTGTCCCATCTGATCTTTGTTCTCTCTCTCTCTTTTTTGCTTTCTTTTGGATTTATGAAACATTTAAATGGTTCCAATTTCCATCTTCTGTGGGTTTATTAGCTATTACTTTTATTGTTTAATTATTGCTTTAGTGTTTGTAATATATATGTTTAAGTTACCACAGTCTAATTTAAAGTGATATTATACCACTTATATAAGGAATAAAAACCTTACAATAGTATACTTCCATTTCTCCCGTCTGACTTTTGTGTTATTGCTATCAAACATTTTAATTTTACATATGTCATCATTCACACGTTACATTATGATTTTTGTTTTAATAATAATCTTTTAAAGAGATTTAAAGTAATAAAAATTACATATTTACCCATGTGGTTATCATTTCCAAAGCTCTTCATTCCTTTGTCTATATTCCTTGTGTTTTTGCTTATGGTGAATTCTTTTAGGATTTTTAAGTCAAAAAATATCTTTATTTCCCTTTTGTTTTGGAATGATACTTTTGCTGGGTGTATATTTCTAACTTGACAGTTTTTAGTACTTTAAAAACATTGCTCCACTGTCTTCTCACCTGTATTTCCAATGAGAAATCTGCCGTCATCCTTATCTTTGTTCCTTTATATGTAACGTGCTTTTTTCTCTCTGGCTCTTTTCAAGATTTTTCTTTATATCACTGGTTTTGGGCGGTTTGGTTATGATGTGCCTTGATATAGTTTCTTCCTTTGTGCTTGGGGCTCACTTAGCTTCTTGGATACATGGGTTTATGACTTTCATTAAATGTGGGGAAGTTTTAGCCATTATTTTTCTCAAATATTTTATTTGTACCACACTCTGTCTTCTCCTTTAGGGACTCCAATTACACATAGCAGGCACTTGAAGTTGTCCTACAGCTCTTTTTTTTCTGTGTTTTATTTGTTGTTTTTTTTCCCTATATATTTTATTCTGAATAGTTTTATTGCTAGATCTTCAAATTTGCTGATTTTTCATTCTGCAATATCTAATCTGCCATTCATCTCATCTACTATATTTTTTTTATCTCACACATTGTAGTTTTTATCTCTAGAGGTTCAGTTTTGTGTCTTTTTAAATATATATTCCATGTTTCTACTTAACTTTTTGAACATCTGAAATACAGTTGAAATAACTGTTTTAATAAATAGCTGCTTCTGTCAATTCTAACATCTATGCTAGTTCTAGGTTGGTTTCAGTTATCTCTTCATTATGGGTTTCATTTTCCCGAGTCTTTACTTTGTAAATATTCTTAAGCTTTGTTTTAGAATGCAGTTGCATTACTTGGAAACAGTTTGATCATTTTTTTGTTTTGCTTTTAATATGTGTTAGGTGGGATCAGGTCAGTGTTCAGTCTGTGGCTAAGTATGGGAAAGACTTCTGGGTATTCAACCCAATGCCCTGTGAATTGTGAAGTTTTCCAGGCTGGCTGTTAGGAAGTGGCACTATTCCTGGCTTTGTGTGAGTGCTGTGCACCATTATCTCCAATCTTTTTAGGTAGTTAATTTCTGAGCCTTGAATAGTTTTCTCACATGAATGTTGTGTTAGTCCCTTTTGCATTGCTGTAAAAAACACCTGAGGCTGGGTGATTTATAAAGAGGCTTATTCTGCTCACAGTTCTGCAAGCTATACAAGAAGCATGGCACCCAGCATCTGCTTCTGGTGAGGACTCAGGAAGCTTACGATGATGGTGGAAGGTGAAAGGAGAGTAGGCGTGTCACATGGCAAGAGAGAGCAGGAGAGAGAAGGGGGAAGGTGCCAGCATCTTTTAAACAACTAGCTTTTGCATGAAGTTAAAGAGCAAGAACTCACTCATTACCATGGGAAGGGCACTAAGCTGTTCATGAGGGATCCACCCCCAAGACCCAAACACCTCCCACCAGGCCCCATCTCCAACACTGAAGATCACACTTCAACACGACGCCTGTGATTCTCAGTGTTGGAACCTGCTGGGAGGTGTTTGGGTCATGGGGGTGGACGACACATCTCCAACATTGAGGATCACATTTCAACATGAGATTTGGAGGACACAAACATCCAAACTACATCAGGTGTGCTGATCAGTACTCAGCTGAACACTTGAGGGACCTTCTGCAAATCTCTAGAGCTCTCTCCTCTGCAGTACTCTGTCTTGTAAATTGTTGCCACCTTGGTCTCCCTGTACTTCAGCAGCAGAGGTATTCATGGGCAAGTTGCTTAAGTTTTCTGAACAGTTATTTTCTCATCAATACAGAAAGGATAATAGTATTTAGCTTATGATTCTACTGTGGGAACTGAACGAAACTGATGTTTGTACAGCACCTGGCACTTGGCAGATACTCAGCAAATATTTGGGTCTTCCCTGTCTCTGCACCTGGTCGTTACTTCTTCCTGATTTTTGTCTTGGGTTTGCAACCTGATTCCTGGCTGAGCTTTAGGTTGGTTTCTGTATAACGATCAACCAAAGCAGGTAATCACTCATGAGCCATTCAGGTTTTAACTTGATGAGTTTCAGAATTCTGCTATTCAAATGGCATTTAGGTAGAAACGTATCCTCCTGTAATTTGACATTTATTTTCTCCAAAATCTCATTCAGTTCAACCTGCAAGAATTATTTGAATTCACTTATTTGTAGTGTGAATGTCAGTAGGCTTTAGAAGGTCAGTGGTGCGTGGTGGAAAGAATTTAAGAGGACCAATGCTATTTGCAACCCCAGCGTGATTTTTCTGGGGTTTCCTAGTAGGTCATGAACGTCAACCTTTTACTTCCCCTTCTCATTTTGCCTCAGATTTCCCAAGGAGCTACATGAAGAACAGATGAGTGTTTGTCAGAACTTAACCATTTCTCTTTTATCTTCTCCCCTGTGGTAGTGTCTGGAGGTCGCAGCCGCCTGCATCTCATTGATCTCGGCAGCTGTGTGAAAGCTCTTAGCAAAAATCGAGAAGGAGGCTCAGGGCTGTGTCTCTCGCTGTCTGCTCTGGGCAATGTCATCCTGGCTCTCGTCAATGGCAGCAAACACATTCCATACAAGTAAGTGACTCTTCTACTCAAAGAATGTGGTGGGGTAAGCATGGTGTGGGACGCTTTGTTCAGTGCCATCTGTGGAGAGGTGTGCCACAGAGGGACAGCCTGGACCCCATTATAAGTTCAGTGCCAGAGACCAGCCTTAGCTAACAGTTGTGTAATGCATGATCTCCCAAATTCAAAACTTTTGGAAATACTTAAATCTATTCCAGTTCTAACTTTAGGCTGCTCAAATTAGAGGAAATAGGAAATTATCTCAGTTGAGGTCTCCACTCGCAAATGAAGGTGGTGGGTCATTGTCACCATAATAAAGATGTGCCTGTTTCATAGTGATGAGAGTGAGGGGTGGAAGACTGGCTTATCCTTAGGGGTAGGGCCACCAGACTTAACCAAAAAAATATAGGATATCCAGGCAAATTCAAATTTCAGATAACCAACAAATAAGGTTGTATTATAAGTATGCACCCCAACATTGCATGGGACGCTCCTGGTGACATGTATTTTATCTGGCAACCCAATCTCGGGAGTTCAGAAAGCTAGGGGAGTTAGCACCTGCCTTCCCATGCAAATGTTTAGTCACTTCCAGGATCCTTCCTGTCTCTTTACTACTGCTCCAATTAAATTACAGCCGCTCCTATGTCTGGCAGAGACAAAGCCACTCCACCACCATCACCCCAACTAAGCGTTCTCATTGGACCGTGTGGTGGCAGGCCATTGACTGGCTGTCCAGGCTTCTGCCAAGGCCTAGCTGAGCCTCTTACTAGCTGCATGAACCTTCATTCTTCCTAAAATGAGGGTTAAAGCTATACATGTTACATCACAGAAATATAAGGCTCAAAATGATAAAACATGTATAAAAGTTTATTGTAGGCTGGGTGCGGTGGCTCATGCCTGTAATCCTGGCACTTTGGGAGGCCGAGGCGGGTGGATCACAAGGTCAGGAGATTGAGACCATCCTGGCTAACACGGTGAAACCCCATCTCTACTAAAAATACAAAAAATTAGCTGGGCGTGGTGGTGGGCACCTGTAGTCCCAGCTACTCAGGAGGCTGAGGCAGGAGAATGGCATGAAACCAGGAGGCGGAGCTTGCAGTGAGCCAAGATCACGCCACTGCACTCCAGCCTGGGCAACAGAGCGAGACTCCTTCTCAAAAAAAAAAAAAAAAAAAAAGAAAAAAAAGAAAATTTATTGTAGAATTTAGGACACTATGGCCAATAACCAATGATGAAAGTCTGGTTACACCTATCTAGTCAAGCCTATCCTCACCTATTTAAAGGGAAAAAACACCGACCTTACAGAGTTGCCATGAGGTGAAGATTAACTAAATATATGTGGATTCATGGTTTTATCTGTAAAAACCCTACAAAACCTACGTTGCTGTTGTGTAGGAGGAAAAAGTCGGGCAGTGTATTCTATAATTACTGAGATTCACAATGAGTGCTGGAGTTTTTCTTCCCCTCAGCCCTATGTTGATGCCAGACCCCCCCACCAAATACATTGTGAGTTTATTTCCTACCAGGAGAACCATTACTGGACTGACTTTAGGAGCTTAAATGGTGATTATAATCCTGTCCATCTCATTTCTAGAAATTTGGAATCCTAGTTGGATAAACCCAGAAATGGTTTTCCCGGCTCTTGTAACAACCCTTTTCTATGGGAGAATATTCTGAGTTGAAGAATTATAGAGTTTCATTCGATGTCATTTCTGTAGTTGAGTAAATTCAGCTTGTGGGGAGAAAGGGCAGGGGAGGGAAACCGTTGGAGTTGGAGATGAAGGGAAGAGTACTAGCACTCACTGGTTTCCATAAAATGAGAATCATGTCTGTTAATGTCAGAACTTCATAGATCATGATATAGATAAAATTCCAAATTGCACCTTAGCAGGAGGTCATTGATTACATATCTTACTTATAGCTTTTACACTGTTTCTGCAGGGCGACATGCTTTTATGATTTCTATAAATAGTTGTTGAATTGATGGCGGGAAGATAGATGCATGTAAACATGAAATTATTTTTAATTTAAAGTAACTTCCTTTTAGTTAGAGTTGGGTTTTTTATAAATGAGTAGGGAAACATTAAAAATTGTTTTTATGGCCCAGCGTGGTGGCTCACACCTATATTCCTGGCACTTTGGGAGGCTGAGGCGGGAGGATTGCTTGAGACCAGCCTGGGCAGCATGGCAAAAACCTGTCTCTACAAAAAATACAAAAATTAACCGGGCATGGTGTTGCATGGTTGTAGTCCCAGCTACTTGGGAGGCTGAGGTGGAAGGGTGGCTTGAGTCCAGGAGGCAGAGGCTGCAGTGAGTTGAGATTGCGCTACTGCACCAGCCTGGGCAACAGAGTGAGACCCTGTCTCAAAAAAAAAAAAATAAATGAAAGTTTGTATTAATCGTTCAAGCTTCGTGTTAATTAAGCATATTTTTAACATGCTGGCCCTACCAACTGGCTACCTGCCCTCCTGGGAGACATCTCCACTCACCAGTCCCTGCAGACAGCTGCCTGCCTTCATTCCAGGAGTCCCCTTCCTTCTATTCTGGCACCAAGAGAGTGATCATTAAAGTGTTTCTGTGTCTCAAGTAAGCAGACTAGCTTCCATGCAGTGTCAGCACAAGACCCAATCCTGGAGCTGTCCCGTGGCCTGGTTGAGCTGTTGATGGCGTGGGTACAGACTCACCAGCTGCCCTTGCCCTGCCCTGCCTAACACAACTCATCGAGACCTTGCTGGGTTGCCTGGTGCTGGAAACACGGTGGCCCTGGCCATCCAGCCAGCGCTGTCCTTCCCAAAACATCCATTGGCCAGTGCGTTTGTTCTGTCACCCCTCAGTGTCCTAATGCCCTTCATTGTACGTGATCTTAAAAAGACCCTTGCCGAAATGTTTTCTCCGAGTCTGGACCACGGCCTAGATTCAATATTTGGCATCTGCAAATGTACATTTACAAAGTGATTCATCAACTAGAAACTGTCCTCTTTTGAGGTACAGGAAGATAAGGCAAAGGTTTACTCAAATCACCCAGCCAGTGGGTGGCAGGATCAAACTGCCTCGCTCCTCACAGCTTCAGAGGCCTCGACAGTTCCCAGCCTCACTGCAGACCCACGCCCACTTCTCATCAAGCTCCCGAAATGTCGGAGCTGCCTTCACTGCGCACGGCAGGGGAGCCCAGCACAGCAGGAAAGCCCCGATTTCTTTGATCAATTCCGTCAGTGCTCTGAAGCCACATTATGCAGCATTTTGTTAGCATACTAAACACCTTCAGGGTGTCAAGCCTTGTCTTTGCAGTGCGTTCCTTAGAGAAGTGGAAGTTTCCTGCCCTTGAGGTTTCCTCTTACTCCTCCTGCTCACTTACGGAGGGTGGCGGGGGGAACAAAAATAGAAAACCAAATTCCATATTCTCTTTCCTTCCCCCACCCCCCCCAAAAAACACAGACACCCCACTACCTCTTCATTTGTCTCCCCAGACAACTCTGTACTTGGAACCTGCATTACTTGTGCTTGCTCCTGGGAAATTCGCTGCAATGTGCACAGAGGGGCTGTAGCCTGTCTTCATTCCTCTTCATCATCTTACCAGGCTATTTGTCATGTGAGCAAGCTGGAAAGTGAGTTTGGATTCATTACCCATCCCAGGCATTCCCACAGGCACCCTCCATGTGCGCTGAATGCTTCTGACTTTGCAAATGATATTGCCCTTGAAGATGCAGGAGGCGTGGAGCAGGTTTCCAACCTCAGCCATTACACAGCACAGGCACATTACATGGCACAGGCTTGCCGGCCAGTCCAGGCGCCATAAATCAGTTCTCAACGGTGGCACCATTCAGAAAAGCATGCAGGGAAGGCAGGGAGACCACCAAGGGCTCCAACCCCTCGTCAGTTCTGCACTGACAGGCTGCACAAATTACTCTCTAATTTTTGAGAGCCTCCACCTCCAGGGAACCCTGCCCTCATTCGATCATTTTGACAGTGCATTTGCAAATTTTCTTTATTCGGTACATTCATTTGCTGTTCCTTACTGCTCTTGGGCACCAAGGTGCTAGGAATCTTCCCATTTAATGGATAAGAAAAAATAGGCAGAAGCGTTGAAATGACTTCTCAGGCCAAAACCCAGTGTTGCACATCCCACAGGAGTTGGCCCCCAGAAGAACCGCCACAAGGATCTGTCAGGGTGAACTGAGCTTCGGCTAACGGGTGTTATGTCCCAGCTCATCTGAAGGACCACAGCTTTTCGAGACTCAGATTCTCACCATGACCCAATTATCTCAAAATAGAATTTCTGGTTCTCTTAGATGTTGCTTTGTAGAGGGCACAGGCCCTTA
Source organism: Homo sapiens (assembly GCF_000001405.40). Classification (NCBI taxonomy): domain Eukaryota; kingdom Metazoa; phylum Chordata; class Mammalia; order Primates; family Hominidae; genus Homo; species Homo sapiens. The sequence continues at coordinate 344,892 of NT_187516.1, forward strand.
GAAAGCACACACCTGTCATGCAGGCGTCCTTCAAGCCCTGAAGCATTTACCTTCATTGATGACTGCTGCTCCATATGGAGAAAGAATTCCTTTAATGGGTCATATGACCTGTTTGCTTATTTGCCAACACAGTGTTTCTAAACACTCTGTTTCTAAACAACAGCTAGTTGCTAATGTCTTGGCTGCCCTTTAACAAGAGTTCATGGAAAGTCCTTCTGTGGCCCTCTCATGTCATGCCTGTCTGAGATGCTTCTCCCAGTCATCTTGAAAAATGGTGCTACATAACCATCCTGTCGTGGAAATGATGCCCGGCACCTCCCTCTCACGGGTTTGGTCTATGGTTCAGACCCAGACCTAATCCTTGTTTGTTGAGATCAGTCACTGAGACACTTTGGGTCTCAGCAGCTGTGCTGAGCTCGCCTCCTCCTCTCTCTGGTAGAGCCTGAGGCAATCTGTGATCCAAGCTGCAGGCCACGAGCAAACACCGCAGGCAACATCCACTTCCAGAAGGCTGTGTTCCACAAAAGCGATGAGGACACCCATCCTCAGGGGCTATAATGGGAACTCTTTTCCTCCTAAGGCCCTAGTGAGGAGTCAGGAACCAAGGTCATCTTTAAGCTTGTAGCATCGGGACACACCAGTTCATTCAAAGCAGCAGGCAGCACTAGAAGCTCAAGTTCAAATCAGTGACTTGAAAGGAAATGACACTTCATAAGTAGAGGCAGCTTTTTCAAAATGCAAGCACCTTCTCATCCAAGAGAGGGTGGGGTTCTGGCACCTGTGGGTCACACTTGTGGCAGCAGGCCCAGCATTGGCAGGAACTTCAGGACGAGCCTCTGAAGGATGTGGACATTCCCCTCCTTGCCTGGAGAAGTGCTTCCTCCTAGAGCCCATGGAGATTTGGGATTAGCCTCTCCTTTCTCAGAACTGGAAACCCAGTACTCAAGGTCTGGGAAGCTGGGGAAAGGGGCTCAAGATTGCTGTTAGCTAGAGCGGGGTTCCAAACCCCCAGGCCACAGATTGGTACAGGTCCCTGGCTTGTTGGGAACCAGCCTGCACAGCAGGAGGTGAGCAGTGGGGGAGCATGACCACCTGAGGGCTGTTGGCTGTCTGATCAGTGGTGGCACTGGATTCTCATAGGAACCTCATGCTATTGTGAACTGTGTGTGCGAGGGATCTAGCCTGTGCGCTCCTTATGAGAATCTAATGCCTGATGATCTGAGGTGGAGCAGTCTCATCCCCAAACCATTCCCTACTCCCATTGGGTCCATGGAGAAATTGTCTTCCACGAAACCTGTCCCTGGTGCCAAAAAGGTAAAAGGGTTTGGGACTGCGGAGCCATGGCATTGAATTCCCATCTCACACAGGAGAGGAAAGGCTCTTCCTCAGGACTTGGATGTATATTACTTAGACGTACCATGAAATTAAGTAGATATTTGCCAGGAAAAATGCAAAGGAGTATCAGTTCTCCAGATTTGTTTAAGATAGCATGAAACGGAGAGGTTCATGTAAGAATCTGTGTGTGTGTGTGTGTGTGTGTGTGTGTGTGTGTGTGTGTGTGTGTGTGAGAGAGACATATGCATATTTAACCTCCTTTAAATGTACATTAATGCTGTATTTTCTCCCCCTGATTTACAGGGAGAATATCAATTTAGAACTATTTGCACAAACTCTAGATACCAGTTTAGAGCGTTCCCTATTTAGAAATAAAATAACCAAAGTCTCAGGTTGCCAGGCAACTGCAGCAATGATAATTCTTAGTATTGCTGCTTTAGAAATACTCATTTTTATACATTTTAGTGATGGTTAGGATGCAGAGAATGTGAGTTCAGAATGTCGCTGGGACATCGAAGTCCCTTTTCTATGAGATTTTTAGCATTCTCACTTGCTTTTATTTTTCCCCCTTAGCTCTGTTTGCTTCCTTGGCTAGCGGTATCTTCATATTTAGCTATAGAAATCTCGAGAGATTGTTATTATTTTCTTAAGAGTTGAGGCAGAAGCTGCCACTACATTAATTCTGCCAGGCTCATTATAGAACCACGCCAGTCACTCAGGGAGAAATGACACCGTCTGGGGATCGGCCGGGGTCACAAACACTGGGTTCAAGCTTTGGTTGTTCTGCCGCTAGTTTGACACATGAACTCTACACCTCGTCCTTTTCATTCTTAAGAGGACCACATTCTGGCCCCTCTCAGAGCTTCACTGAATTGGGAACAGAATATCAGGCCCCAGCTCTGTCATCATCTCTTGGCGGCAAAGCCACGGCTCATGTTTTTGTCTGTCCACTGCAGCAGCCGTTGTGGCGTAATGGCACATGATGGTCTCGGGGCTGGGTAGAAATTGGAAGGCGTCTTCCTTTCCCTTTTGGCCTTTCAAGTGTATCTTCCTTTATGTCTAATGTCTGGGGTTACTATTAAAGTCTTTCTGAATTCTGAACCAATGATCAGATAGATACAAGAGAATGATTGGGAATGAAAAGCCTGCTAATCCTAGCAGAGTAGGAAAGGGTAGACAGCCCCTTCCCCAACCCCACGGCCTCAGTGGAGGAGAGAATGGTGTGGCCTGCAGGGGAGGGACAGGCAGACAGCGCCAGCTGTCACCCAGGCTCACGTTCACCAGCCTCAGCAGTCAGACCTTCTTCCTTCCTCCCTTGGAGGAAGTGAATAGAAGGGCAGAACCGAGAGCGGGAACTCTATCTTGATCTTGCTAAAGGGGTAGAAGTTCCTAATTCGTGGACTTGCTGGACCACAGGGAGGAGGAGAAAATGATTTCTAGTACTTATTTCCTGGCATTTCAGCTACATGGAAGGTAGTTAGCACGGTGCATAAATGAGCCCCCGGTGAGAGTATTTCCCATCGTGAGCACCACAGCCGGGCGTTGTTCTCACTGTGCCTCACAAGCTCTGCTAAATGCCTTATGGATATTTCATTCTGACAACCTGTGACATAGGTACTGTAATCATACTAGTATCACAGATGGGGAAACTGAGACACAGAAAGGTTGAGTATCTTGTCCAAGTTCACACAGCTAATAGGCAACAGGGCCTCACTGCCTCCCAGTTTATCACCCCCCACCGAGTACAGTTTCTGGAATATTGTGCTCGGTCAACATTTGTTGCAATAACAAGTGGGGTACAACAGAGGATCAAACATACCAGCAAAGCTTGCATATGTGTAGTTGATTATAAGTAAAAGCACAGTCTGGGCACAGTGGTTCACACCTATAATCTCAGCACTTTGGAAGGCCTAGGCAGGAGGATCACTTGAGCCCAGGAGTTTGAGACCAGTCTGAACAACATAAGGAGACCTCGTCTCCACAAAAAAAAATTAAAACACTAGCTGGGCATGGTGGCTCATACCTGTAGTCCAAGCTACTTGGGAGGCTGAGGTGGAAGGATCGCTTGAACCCAGGAGGTTGAGGCTGCAGTAAGCTATGATCGTATCACTGCACTCCAGCCTGGACAACAGAGCAAGACCCTGCCTCTAAGTGAGTGAATGAATGAAGGCACAGACCCGAGGGGCAGGGCTGATGGTAGCCAATTCATACATTCAGGTCGGTCTCCTGGTCTCACCTGTTTCTGTGATTGCTAAGCCAGGCTGATGGCTAGATACCCATGGTAATGAAGAATGTAAAATACGAAAGGTAAAAAAGGGAAATAAATCTTCCTTTCAGGACCCAAGCTACTTATCAGGGCTAAACAAAAAATACCAAGTAAGAATGTAATGATGAGGGGTGGGGAGGGGGCAAAAAATAAAATTAAAAAGAATGTAACAAGCAACGAGACGCTCCTGACTTTGAACCTGTGTGCAGGGCTCCGGGTAGATTAGAAGGCATCCTAACCTCAGTAAATGGCTGTCAGTGGGGCCTGACAGTCTGGGTCCCGTGTTCTGGGCACCACCAATGGAGGGTATCCTCTCAGAAAGCTTCACCCTATTTCATGAGCCTTTAATAAAATATAGCTATAATCTTTCTCGTGAAAGAGCCTGACAGTTCATGGAGCCACTTCCCACGCCGCACTGATGGGAGAAACTGCAGGACTCCACCAGGCTTTCTCTGGCTCCAGGACCCCCACGAAGGCCTCCTGATTTATCTGGAGCAGCTCCTGCATAAGAAGGGTGACCGTTTCCCACAGTGGAGAACCAGACACTGGGCACAGCCCACTTGATAAGACAGCTTCCATCTCCCGCCCCTCCTGGGTATGCAAAGGCATTCCTGAGTGAATAGGTTCAGGTCAGAGCAGGAGAGGTTATCACCCAGGCTGTGCCTTGAAGCTTTGCTGAGTACAAGAAAGGTAAGGAAGAGATAAGCAAGAGGTGAGAATGACGGCAGGGCTGGCAAGTGAGATCACGAGCTTTTCCTCAAACATCTGGCTAAGAATAGAAGCTTTGGGAAATTCCACAACTGGCAGATTAAGGTGATCAGCCTCTCAGCTGGAATTTGTGAAGTTTCTTCAGACTGAGCTCCCAGAGAAGTATGTGTGGTGGAATCGCTGTGCTTTCTAAAGAGATGGATTGCAACCTGCGCCGTTGAGCTAGTGCTGAGCTGAGGCCCGGTGAGATGGATTCTAGCACCCCTGCCACGGCTAACCTCACACACTCAGACGCTCTCCCTGAGCTTTTCATTTCTCCATCAGCAAAATCTCAATCATTCTTACTCCTCGTCCACCTCAGAAACATATTGTAGGTTCCATGGAGACGATGTCTGTGGTAGACAAAGAGACGTGCTTCAAAGGCAGAAAGGTCACTGTTTTATCATCTTTCAGAATCGTGTAACCCACGTGGTTCTGCCACCATCCTGTCTTCTGTGCATTCCTTGACTTTGAAAGTACGCATCCTTTCTTTTGACCAAGTAGATAATTACCGTCTATCGAAATGAACCCTCATGCATTTATTCAATGAGAGTTTGTGTGCCTAACACACAGCATGGCTGCCTGATACAAATACTTGGTTTAAGAGAATTCTACAGGCTCTGCACGAAAGTGAAGTCATGATGTAAGGAGGCAAAGGACTCTGCCCTCAAACAGTCCAATGGGCCTGAGAATGAGCCTGGGGTGGGGGTTCGATGCTGCTGCACCCCCAGTTGTATCTGTGTATCCCAGTGACTGGGGCGTGATTTGAATATTTAAAGATACTCCTTTTTCATACGGCCTTTAAATGCAAGCCGAGTACTTCTGCTGCACAGCCGGAGAGGTGGTATGTTTTTAATGCTGGAGTAAAACTTGTCTGTGTTGGACTTAGTGAGAGAATGGTTTTCGTTCAGAGATTGTCAAGGCCAACTTTGATATAAATTTCACTTTACATTTTACACCACACGTGATTCATAACATTTAACTCTGTCATCCATAGAACTCGGTGCTGTTCTGATCAGCAAGGTAGATTCTGGCCCAAAAGAACTGGTGGAGGAATTTAAGGAACTGGTTCTAAGCCTAATTGAGGTCACCAAACATACAGAGAAAATAATCTGAGAAATGTATAGCAGAAATCTAAGTTTTCCATTTATTCATTTACTCAAAAATACCCTACAATAAATACCAGGAATATAACAGATGATCTGCATTCTTGGGCAACTTACAGTGTAGCAGGAATACAGACACTGAGCACCGAGTAACTGATAATATACGCACATCAGCGCTGAATCGGCACTAAGGGAAGAAGGGGTCGGGTGGGGCTGAGGAATGGCACAGAGCGGTGATTCTCAAGCTCTCTCCTCCTCGAGTCCCACTCATTCTCTACTCACGCTCATCTGTGTCTTCCAAAGTTTGCCACAGTCCGTCCTCTAAATGCCTGAGTCACTCACACCTGTTCTGTCATTCCCTGCTTTGATATAGAGATGATCCAACACAAATCATGACAAACCACTAAGCCAAATGCAAGACTCTGAATCCACAGCTGAGTGTGATCTTTAATGACGACTAACCATCATATCACAAGTTGTGTCATAACCAGAAACAAAACAGCCAGAGAAGGAGGGCTTTAGGTTGGTCTGGGGACAGTACGGAGAGCCCAAGACGCCCTTGGGCACCCACAGGGGGCTGTGATTATTCAAGGATGGCTTGATTTAGGCACAATTAGGCATTGGACAGGATGGAGCATACAAATGTGTTGGGGATTAATTCATTAAAAATCTGTCTTGAGCTTTAATAGAGCTTCAGTCAGAGTGTCCAACCATAAATTCTCACCTGTTTCACAACTGGTTCAGGCCCAATTGAGCATTAACAGATTTTTTTTTTTGTTCATGCAAATGAGGTTTTGTGTGTAATTCATTCATTCATTTCATTTATTTCATGTCTAATTGAACAATTTTTGAATAGTTACATTTGTGGAGTAGTTAAGTTGTATCAAATTGTCTAATGTACCTAGTAATTTTGTAACTAAAACAGAGCTGAATTTCATTTTGATATAACAAAAGGAGAACCACAGAAGTAGAGGTGGTTTGAGGAATAGTCGGCTTTTAAGAGACTTTATGATACTCTGTTCTTTAGGGCAATGACCACAGTTGCTGTTTCTTTTTATCCTCACTTTTCTTTCTTTTCACTCCCTACCGATGAGATCAATGAAAATTTGGGGGCATTTCTAGATTTGGCAGCCTCCCATTTATAAGCATACATTTTTTTAGTTTTGTGCCCTGACATGCCCATTTTTCTGAGGGTCAAATGTGTCTGTCTTTAAAACACCGCGCTGGTGTCTTTCAAACCGCTTATCAAGGGTTGTTTCTCCCACGAGACCTTGTCACCCCTGAGCCTGAAGTCGCGCGCTGAGAACTAATTGCAGTAGCTGCATACACACGGTGAACAAAGTTCACTGCTCCCTTCATTAAGGGCACCTGCCATGTCCACTGTTTCCTTCCGAGAACTCTTTTGGTGAAGACGGGATTTTTGTTTTCTTTACATTCCACATAGCTGCCAGAAGGCCCCTTTAAAATGCAAATCTGATGTCTCTCAGTCTTTAAAACCTTCAGTGGCTTCCTGTTGGCTACAGGATAGTTGAAACCCTTTTGTGGCCTATGGAGCTCTTCCGAATTTGGGCCACACCTACCTTTCTGACCATAGAAACTACATAGAGATGACTGAACACCCCACCCCACCCCCACAGTCACATGCTTTGCCGATGCCGATTCTTCTGCTTCCAGCGGCTGTTCATTCACTCACTCATTCATTCATTCAATCAATAGTTACCAAGAACATACCCTACTCCAGTACTGTACTGGAGCTCCTCCTCCATTTGTGAGATTCTTCTTATGTCTTTGACATGTTTTGATTGTAAGATGTGTTGCATATGCAGATGTAGAAACACACCTGCTCAGTCTATAGAATGACAAAAAATCTGTGTGCCCACCACCCAGGTTAGGAAATAGAACATTCCACTAGCTCAGGTGCCCTTGTGTGATCGTCTGCCTTCCGTCACCCTCCTGCCTGTTCCAGCGGTGACCACAGTGCTGAATTTTCTGGTTTTGATCCCCTTGCTTGTCTTATAGGTTTTACCACCTAAGTATGTGTCCCCCCAAAACATACTGTTTAGTTTTGTCTGCTGTTGAACGTTACATAAATGAAATCATACTCTATTCTATGCCCTTCCGTACCTTCTTTTGATCAGTATTTCATTTTTGAGATCCATCTTGATGCGCACAGCTACAGGTTCTTAATCTTCATTGCTGTACGATTTTTCCATTGTAGATGGATATTGCAAAATATTCTTCTGTGGGTGGATTTCTAACAAGTTTTTAAAAACTGATTGTTGAAGTTAATCGAACCTATTTCTGCTCTAATGAGATGCTCACTTGGTTCCTCCATTAATCATTTAATATGGTCAATTACATTGTGAGTTTTCTTTTCTTTTTGAGACAGGGTGTCACTCCGTCACCCAGACTGGAACGCAGTGACACCAACAAGGCTCGCTGCACTCCCAGGCTCAAGTGATCCTCCCACCTCAGCCTCCCATGTAGCTGGGACTACAGGTGTGCACCACCATGCCTGGCTAATAGTTTATATTTTTTGGAGAGACGGGGTTTTACCATGTTGCCCAGGCTGGCTTTGAAATCCTGAGCTCAAGCAATCCTCCTGCCTTGGCCTCCCAAAGTGCTGGGATTACAGGTGGGAGCCACTGTACCCGGCCAATCAGTTTTCCATTAATAATACTAAAAATTCTTGGATTCCTTCCTACTTATTCTTTGAGGCTTATCTCAAATATCATCTCCCCTCTCAAGCCTTCTCTGATCTCCTTTCCCCCCTCCTAATTCTTTGCTCCAGGAAAGTTGTTTCCATCTTCCAACTCAATGGCATTAAAATGGTATTTTAATGTAGGCACTTATATTTTAAATATTTGTTTACATATACCTCTCCTATCATATGAGCTCATCTAGATAATGATAGAGGGCACATGCAGTGGCTCACACTTGTAATCCCAGCACTTCAGGAAGCCAAGGCAGGAGGATCACTTGGGCCCAAGTTCAAGACCAGCCTGGGCAACATAGTGAGACTCCATCTGTACAAAAAAAAAATTTAAAAGTATAGTAGCCATGCATAGTGGCGTGTGCCTGTAGTCCCAGCTACTCGGCAGGCTGAGGTGGGAGGATTGCGTGAGCCTGGGAGGTTGAGGCTGCAGTCAGCTATGATCATGCCACTACACCCCAGCCTGGGCAACAGAGCAAGACCCTGTCTCAAAAAAATAATAATGATGGAATCTTGTTCTTCAGCTTCCTTACGATTTTGCACTAATCTGAATGAAACCAGCCTGATCTAAACCTTGCATCTTTAGTGACAGATATGAGTCTGACACCCACCTTCAACTTTGTGGTAGCCTGCCCAGCTTCCCAGAGGACACCTTTGTGCCCGCAGGCTTCCTGTGGCCATCGGATCCCCAATCTAAACTAGGATAAAGTATATGTTTTGTGGTATTGTCACCTGTTTAGGATGAGAAGAGGCACTGAAGCTATAACCCTATTTTCTGAGCCAGATAAAATAGCAAACATATATTTGCTCTACTGGGTTATTTTGACAAATTTATCAAGCATCTTCAAAATATACAGTACTAGTCTAAGCATTAGGGCTAATGCAGAGAGCTTTTGCACCAGTAGGACAGAGGAAAAAATGTGCACAAATTAGAGTACAAGGCATAAAGCAGTTAAAAGTCACATTATCAAGTACATTCAAGGAAAGAGGTAAGCAGTTCCAGCAAGTAGGCCGGGCGCGGTGGCTCACGCCTGTAATCCCAGCACTTTGAGAGCCCAAGGAGGGCGGATCATTTGAGGTGAGGAGTTTAAGACCAGACTGACCAACATGGCAAAACCCAATATCTACTAAAAATACAAGAAAAAAAAAAAAAAGCCAGGCGTGGTGGAACATGCCTGTAATCTCAGCTACTCAGGAGCCTGAGGCAGGCGAATCGCTTGAACCCCGGGAGGTGGAGGTTGCAGTGAGCCGAGATCACGCCATTGCACTCCAGCCTGGGCAACAGGGCGAGACTCCATCTCAGAAAAAAAAAGTTCCAGCAAGTCAGCTGTGAATATTTTTTCTATGGCAATAATAATAAACACAAGATGCAGGTATAGATTCCTATTTATGACTACAACTCTCCACATGTCTAGAATTTGGTGGAAGCAAATAGGTCTTAGAATTTACCCCAAAGCTTGAATTACTGAAACTGCCTGTTAGTAATAGTCATTTATCACATGGATTTGGCGCTGGTGTCCTGAGGATCTAAGTACAGGGGAGTTCTGGGCATGCATTAGTGCTCTAAGGAGAGGCCTTCGCTGGTTAATGTCCCCAGGTTTGGGTTGGTAGCCTACCATTTGGTATCATACTGAGCTCCCTAATTTTGAGCTACATCTAGAAGACCACGTGCCTGGTGCCAAGAAGGACACTTAGACTATGTGTGGATGGAGCTTCATCAGCTGTTCTAATGAACGTTTTGCAAAAGACCATTGTGAGTGAGATGGGAGTTTCTCTGTTTTCAAGCCCAGGGCCCTGCCTGCTGGTGTGTCCCTCTTCTGAGTCATTCAGCCTTGACCCACTCTAGGGAACCGGAGGAATCCACAGCCCAGAGCTCTCCCATGGTGGCCTGTTTGACAGTCACATTCTGAAAAAGCAAACCTCTTGGCTTGATTTCTTGCTGGAATAATGAAACCCAGCTCGGCCCCTGCTTGATAATTGCCTTTGGGAAAAAGGTAATAGCCACCTTGAAACACCATTCAGTTGGACCTTTCCAAAAGCCACGGGTTTTTCTTCACCAAAGTCCTTCATTTGAGCCTATAATCTGTGAATGGAAAGAAGCGATGATGCCTCTAAAAGCCTTTTGGTTGGAGTCAGAGTCACCCTTTGAGCACTGAGTTCTCTTTCCAGGGACCTCTCCCATGTGGTCTTGGAGCCATGGGTGTTGTACAAAAGCAACAGGCCTAGCAGAGCTACCAGTGTGTGAGCGTTTGCTGTGTGAGCCCAGGCTTTCCACAGGACGAAGATTCTCTCACCAGAGTGTGAGCATTTGCAGTGTGAGCCCAGGCTCTCTACAGGACGAAGATTCTCTTACCAGCATGTGAACATTTGCAGTGTGAGCCCAGGCTCTCTACAGGACGAAGATTCTCTCACCAGAGTGTGAGCATTTGCTAGTGTGAGCCCAGGCTCTCTACAGGACGAAGATTCTCTTACCAGCATGTGAGCATTTGCAGTGTGAGCCCAGGCTCTCCACAGGACAAAGATTCTCTTTTCACCCTCACGTCAACCTCACGTCAAGATGGGAGATAAAGAATAGCAAAATAGGGCTGGGTGTAAGCTCTGGATAGCTTCTTCGGGTATCCAGGGATAGATGCTGTGATTACTCCTATTTTATAGATGAAGAAACAGATGAAAGGAGCCCACGTCCCATGCACGATACTGGCAAGCTAGGATTCAAACACAGTGGGGCTCCAGCACCTTCCCTTTCAGTCCCCACATTAGCCTCTGGCTGAGGTGTGGGGAAAAGCTCACAGATCAGACTGGGGGGACCTGAGTTCCAGCCCCAGCTCCTCGCGGGCTGCCTGTGTGACCTGAGAGCCCCGAGGCTCCATCTGTGAAATGCAGAGGGGGTGGCAGACAGCTCGTCACGAGGAGTGAATGAGATCCTGCAGATGAAGGTATTTGGTATACTGAAGAGCTCTGAGAATGATGAAAATGATGTGCAAGTCTCTTCCAGGACTTTTTGTGTGCCTTTCGTAGTGTAATACAGACCCCGGCACATGGGTGTTCACACTTAGGGTATGACCAGCCTCACAGCTAAGTTGCTTAGCATATGGTACCAGCGAACCCAAGTTTGTAAACCAGAACTTCCCATTGCTTTCTTGATTGTCAAGTTTGACCCTGGCCAGCATCCTCTGATACACTGAAAATACACTCTGTGTGTCCAGAAGCAGCTGAGCTTTTGTCTCAGGCCAACCTCACATTCAACCCACTATCCTCCGTCTTGTTCCTCCACGAGGAAAGGGACGTGAATGCCTATAGGCCATCAGAGATGCAGGTGAAACAAACCTCAGTGCATCATTGCACGGGGCCAGATGGGGGGGCCGGTGTTTCCCTGCGGAATCCGGAGGACAGCTGTGCCAGCCACGTGTCCAGGCCCAGGATCCACAATAGGAAAGGGGTTGCTGATGCATTTCAAACTATCTCTAAAGTTGTGAGTGTATATGGCAAAATCCCATCCTACCAAGCCTTCTTGCTATATACATTTGAGTAGAAAATGACATGAGCCAGAAGCTCCAAAGCCTGAGATCCAGAGCATAAACTCCTGCTGTCATGTTGAGGCTGGGGCAGTCCAGTCGCAAGCAGTGCTCCAAAGGAATGCAGTAGGCTGTTCTCATCTTGCCGTAAAGAAATACCCGAGGCTGGGTAATTTCTAAGGAGAAAGGTTTATTTTTGGCTCACAGTTCCACAGGCTGTACGGGAAGCATGGTGCCGGCATCTGCTTCTGGTGAGGCCTCAGGAAGCTTATAATCAAGATGGAAGGTGAAGGGGGAGCAGGTGTGTTACATGGCAACAGAGGGTGCAAGAGAGAGAGAAGGGGGAGGTCCCAGACTCTTTGAAATAGCTGGATCTCATGTGAACTAATAGAGCGAGAACTCACTCATCAACAGGGGATGGCTCTAAGCCATTCAGGAGGGATCTTCCCCCAGGATCCAGCCACCTCCCGCCAGGCCCCCCCTCCAACACTGGGAATCACATTTCAACCTGAGCTTTGGAGGGTATGAACATCCAAACCATATTGGGCTCTATCGTTTTTGAGATTTTACTCACTGGGCGACAACGTAGAGCACCCACCGCTGGGCTGATATGATTTGTTCCCGTTTCCTGGGCAACCAGGTGCGCAGGGCCACGAGATGAGCCTCTTGTGACAACTAAGCCACCTTGATGATGGCTTTAACTCGGGGCCTGGAAGTCAGACTCCCATGCTTTGAGGATATTTTTTGTGGTGGTGTCATTTGTTATGAGGGTTATTCTTTTTTCTCTTGGTACTTCCCAGCCTCATTACTTCTCTGTGCCAAACTGTGCCAGGAAATCACTGACTTTATCATCATGATCATCATCATCATCACCATCACTCAAACTTTGGTAGTGCAGTGCAGTGCCTGCTAGCGCCAAGCTCTAGACTCGGTTCTTTATATATACTCAGTCATCGCATGTTCATGGCAGTCTCATGGGACCAGCACTACAAATGTGTCTAAGGAGGTTTCCTCGAAATCTCCTTTGTCACAGTGGCCTGGAGCATGCAGAAGCAGGTAACAGAAATACCAGCAGCCACTCCTGACTCATCACTGATAGTGGAACTGGTAAGGGACAAACTTGTAAATGAGCAAAGTTAGATTTCTGGGCCTCCTCACCACCTCCCCACTTAGTGCTGTGTCCCCACCCCACAGGTACCCGGTACCTTTGTGCTCTCCAAGAATGCCCCATACTGCCACTTTCCACCCCCATCCTCCTGCCTGTACCTTGTTGCAAATCCCCAACGCCCTGGGCCTCAGTTGACTCTGTACCTACCCCAAAAGGCATCTTTCCTGCAGGTGCTCCTTCCCACGAAGCCCTGTGGTAAGGTCATGTGCTGTCTTCGGTCAAATCAAAACTCCAGTATCTGATAAGAGTCTAAAGATATATGAGAGTTCCCACTATTCCCAACCTTGTCAATATTTGTATTGTTTGATTTTTAAAGTTTTTGGCCATTAGGTGAATATTTAATGGTATGTCATTGTAATTTTAATTTGCAATTTTCCTGATGACTGCTAAGGTTGAGTATCTTTTCATGTTTATTATTCTCTGTATAGTTCTTGTTCATGTCTTTTGCCTGCTTTTCTGTACAGTTGCTTAGCTTTTTGTTAATTGATTCATAGGAATTCTTTGTAAACTCTGGATACCTTCTGCAGGCACCACTCATTGAGACCCCACTGACCAGGAACGATCTTTCAGTCATTTAAGTGACTCTGTGTGGAGTTGTCTCTGGGTTCTCTAGCCCTGCGCTGTTACCACAGTCTTAATAACATTGCCCTTTGCTAATTTTCTTTACGGCATGTTCATTTGCCATTTATTAATTTCTGTTGTTTGCTATTTTTTGGGGGGGCGGGTAGGGGAGACAAAGGTCTTGTCACCCAGGCTAGAATGCAGTGATGTGGTCATAGCTCACTGCAGCCTTGATCTCCCGGGCTCAACAGCGATCCTCCCACCTCAGCATCCTGAGTAGCTGGGACTACAGGTGTGCACCACCATGCCTGGTTAATTTTTAAAAATTTTTTTCTAGAGCCAGGGTCTCACTGTGTTGCCCAGGCTGGTCTTGAATTCCTGAGCTCAAGTGATCCTCCCATCTTGGCCTCCCAAAGTGCTGGGATTACAGGCATGAGCCACCGCACCCAGCCCTACTTTGCCATTCTTTATTTCTCATCTTAAGGTGGCTACTTAGCTTGGCAGTTTCCCCTTCTTGTTCTGTAAGCACCTACGTTGCTCTCTAAGTACTGCTTTGTCTGTATCCTCAAGTTCTGGTAATGACAGGTATTTTCACTATCATTCACTCAAAATATTTTCCATTTCTCATTGTAATTATCATTTTTTGAGACAGGGTCTCATTCTGTCACTGAAGCTGGAGTGTAGTGGTGCGATCTTGGCTCACTGCAGCCTTGACCTGCTGGGCTCAAGCAATCCACCTGCCTCAACCTCCTGTAGCTGGGACTACAGGCGTGTGCCACCATCCCTGGCTTTTCTTTTTTCTTTTTTTTTTTTTTTGGAGACAGAGTCTCACTCTGTTGTCCGGGCTGGAGTGCAGTGGCATGATCTTGGCTCACTGCAACCTCTGTCTTCTGGGTTCAAGTGATTCTCCTGCCTCAGCCCCCCGAGTAGCCGGGATTGTTTGCGCCTGCCACCATGCCCAGCTAATTTTTGTATTTTTAGTAGAGATGGGGTTTTGCATGTTGCCAGGCTGGTCTCAAACTCCTGGCCTCCAGTGATCCACTCCCTGCCTCAGCCTCCCAAAGTGCTGGAATTACAGGTGTGAGCCACTGTGCCTGGCCCATTTTAATTATTTTGTGATCCGTGGGTTATTTAGAAATGTATTTACTAATCGCCACAGTTAAGTTACTTGGAATTTGTTCCTTTTGAGCCTTTTAAGCCTTGCAAAGGCAGGTGCAGCACAGCCTAGGGCTGCTTTGATCCCACTGTTAGCGCAGTAACCTTCTGAGGACGCTGAGGAATGATTTACATACACTCACATATATATGTACATCCATTATATACACCATATATGTTATATACAATATACACACATACCCAATATGTATATACACCCAATGTTATATATATATATACACACCCCCAATATATATATACACCCAATGATATATATATACACACACACCCAATATATATATACACCCAATGTTATATATAGACACACACACTCAATATATATATACACACCCAATGTTATACATATATACACACACACCAATATATATACACCCAGTGTTATATATACACACACCCTATATGTATACACCCAATGATATATATACACATACACACAATATATATACACCCAATGATATATATATTACACACACCATATATATATACACCCTATGATATACATACACACATACCCCCATATATATACACCCAATGATATACATACACACACACACTCAATATATATATACACCCAATGATGTATACATACACACACCCCATATATATATACTCAATGACATAAATAATATGCACACCCAATATATATACACCCAATGATATATATTACACACACCCTATGATATACATACACACATACCCCCATATATATACACCCAATGATATACATACACACACTCAATATATATATATACCCAATGATATATACATACACACACCCCATATATATATACCCAATGACATAATACACACACCCAATATATATATACCCAATGATATATATAATATACACACACTATATAGATACACCCAATGATATATCTATACACACACACACCCAATATATATACACCCAATGATATATATACTCACACACGCCCTATATATATTTACACACCTAATGATATATATACACACACACCCTATA
Organism: Homo sapiens; assembly: GCF_000001405.40. Lineage (NCBI taxonomy): Eukaryota > Metazoa > Chordata > Mammalia > Primates > Hominidae > Homo > Homo sapiens. Next base: position 360,464 of record NT_187516.1, read on the forward strand.
TATATATACACCCAGTGATATATACACACACACCATATATATATACACACACACATACACCCAGTGATATATACATACACATACCCGATATATATATATACACCCCATGATACATATATACACACACACCCAATATATATATGTACACCCAATGATATATATACACACACCCCCAATATATATACACACCCAATGATATATATATACACACACACCCTATATATATATATACACCCAATGATACATATATATACAATATATATATAAACCCAATGATACATATACACACACACCCAATATGCATATACACCCAATGATATATACACACACACACACACACACCCAATATATATATAACCCAGTGATATACACACACACACGCATGCCCTGGGTATAAACAGATCTCCTCACTCTGTCTGCTTGAACACAGACTTCCAATCCCTTCTTGGCTTCAAGGATTATTCCAACTCTCCTTTCTGTGGCCTTGCTTGTTTTTTTGTACACATGTGGATTAGAGCTCAACCAGAGGGCTCCAGAGAGCTCTTGCTTGCTCTCAGGTCATCTCTGTCTTTTTTTTTTTTCTCTCTTATTCTCTTTCCCCTCTTCTATCTCTCCAATTCTTTCTTTGCATCTCTCTCCATTCTTCCCTTCTGCTATTTTGTCCTACAAATTTTAGCTGCCCTGATCTCCCCAAAGTCTGGACTTTTCCTTGTTCAGAAGGATGTGGCTGCCTGGCTCTGCTTGGGTCCCCTGTCGTGTTTGGGGGCCTGGAACCTCTCTCCTGGCAGTAAGCTGGGGCACTTACAAGGCTCAGCTCATCTTTTTTCCCTTCTCTCAGACATGACTTTCCTCTGCTGCTTGTTACCCAGTATCAGAAACCCATTTTTTTTTCTTATAGTTTGTTTGGTTTTCTAGTTGCTTAAGGTTGGAGGGTAAATCCAGTTTCTATTTTTCAAAGATGGCCAGAAGCAGAAATTTCGTCATTTGTGATTTTTTTTTGTTTATTTCTTTAAACAGTTTAATTGTCTCTAACATGTTAATCAACTTTTTGTTGTTTATTTGTGATCTAGGTTTGAACATCTCATTCTTGCATCTGTGGTTTCTGCTGGCTCTTTCTCATGGTGCCGTGTTTCTTTGTTTATTTGTGTCTGGGGGCTACTCATTTTCACTGGCATTTTATTTGTGAGAATTCTGCAAGCTCTGGGATAAAGATAGTTTACTCCAGACAGCATTTGTGTTTACTTCTACCAGGTGCCAGTTGAGGATAGTCTAAATTACATTCTCAGCTTGAAATATTTTTGACCACCCAGATATGGAGAACTAAGCGTGCAAACCTGCATGTAATTCAGACCAGGGTTCGCAATTCTCAGGACAGTTTCTTTCCCCTCTGCTCAGTGCTTATTTCAAGACAGTCATGTCTTGAATACCTACAAGGGACAATTATTGGGGGTTGATTTTCCTGTGAAAATTCACATGTGGAGCAGGCCTCCAGCTTTGACTGCTGCCACATAAAACTCAGCAGGGTGTTACCTGGCTGGGCAGATGTCTTTGGGGTGAAAGAAAGCTTGCCTGTTCTGCTTATTTATCTTGAGTTCCCAACTTCACTTGCTTTTTTTTGGCCTGAGGATTCTTTACCTTTTTGCAGGTTCAACAATGCATTTACTAAGACTTAAAAATAATATCCACGGCCGGGCATGGTGGCTCACGCCTGTAATCCCAGCATTTTAGGAGGCCGAGGCAGGCAGATCACCTGAGGTCGGGAGTTCGAGACCAGCCTGACCAACATGGAGAAACCCTGTCTCGAGTAAAAATACAAAATTAGCCGGGCATGGTGGCGGGCGCCTGTAATCCCAGCAGCTGAGGCAGGAGAATCGCTTGAACCCGGGAGGTGGAGGTTGCAGTGAGCCGAGATCACGCCATTGCACTCCAGCCTTGGCAACAAGAGTGAAACTCCATCTCAAAAAAAAAAAAAAATCCACAACATTTAACTGTACTTGGTAAGAAGGTTTTCCTAGGAACCCAGCCTATCATATTGCTCCTTTGCTTTTATTTTTTTCCTGTTACACACCTCTCCTTCTTTTAAATAAGTAAGGAGATCATATAACTTATTATCGAAGCCACTTTTGAGAGTGAAAAGGGACACTTAATTATTATTATTTCATGTTTCGAAATATTTTCTGACACAGCCGTCTATATTGGTGAACCTATAAAACAGTTCTATTCAAAAATTACTTTCAAACATGAAATGCTTTCTTAATAAAAGAAAATACATCAAAGTAGAAAAAGGTTAAAACTGCTTTATATTGTTTATCTGGACATTAAAAAATAAGCAGAATAATCACTTAATATACTTTTGTGTATTTTAATCATTGTCTTCACTATCTTCTAATACCACTTCAGTAGTATTTTTCTTAACACTATTTTTTCTATTGTTAATGTCAGGGCGTTTTTCTCCTTCACATAATCCAACTGCCTTACCTATATATTTACATATATGTTTATGTGCATTAACACATCAAACCATCTGTTTTTGATAACTGTGGCTTCTGTTTCTCTTGATAGAATATCACAGTTTGGTTAAAAATAAGTGTGAATTTATTCATACAACCACCAATTACAAGTTTATTTCAGTGAAATACATTTCTCAATTCAGTGAGAATATTGTGTGTTAAAGTTTCAAAGGATCTTCCCACAAGTCAATTTCCAGAGCATACTTGTAGAATTTCACATTTTAATCTTCTATACAGTTTGAGCTCTTGTCATCTATATTTCAGGGTCCCCTGTTTGCAAATTTTGTTTTTAATCATTGCAATTCATTACAGGCTTCAGAGGCTGAGCTTTTTGTGTTTCATTGGTTGAACACTTGATTATGGATTACAACTTATTTTGAACCACAAGCCATCAAAATTTAGATGACTTGTTTCCAAAACTGGAGTACTTTTTTTGTAGAGCATTTGGATTGACTCATGAAGTATGTTTTAAAGTTAAAAGCTGCCTAATGTCAGCAATTTCCTATCATTTCATTATTTCAAGTGTCAAATATTTCTCAAATCCAACTTGACAGGCAGCAAAGAGAGAACCGCACACTCTACTGATGAAATGTTTTTAATCCAATTTAAACTTCATAAAAAATTTTTGTAGTTCAGTTACTCTCAGTTTATGTAAATTTTACACATTTCAAAAACTATAGCTTGTGCTTCTCTGGGTAGAATTAGAACTGTGTTTGAGCTCAGTTATGAATTACATAGGTACATCAATTACAGGTACATTTCAGCATAATAAGTTTCTCAGCTTGGAACATTATATCTTTTTTTTATTTTTTATTTTTTTGAGACTGAGTCTTTCTCCATCACCCAGGACTGCAACCTCCGCTTCCCGAGTTCAAGTGATCCTCCTGCCTCAGCCTCCCAAGTAGCTGGGACTACAGGCACGCACCACCATGCCCAGCTAATTTTTGTATTTTTGGTAGAGCTGGGGTTTCACCATGTTGCCCAGGCTGGTCTCAAACTCCTGACCTCCAGTGATCCACCCGCGGTCAGCCTCCCAAAGTCCTGGCATTAGAGGCATGAGCCACTGCTCCTGGCTGGAACATTATGTCCTTTTTTTTTTTTTTTTTTTTTTTGAGACGGAGTCTCTCTCTGTCGCCCAGGCTGGAGTGCAGTGGTGCAATCTCAGCTCACTGCACCTCTGCCTCCTGGGTTTAAGCAATTCTCCTCCCTCAGCCTCCCAAGTGGCTGGGATTACAGGCAGGTGCCACCACACTTGGCTAATTTTTTTTGTTTTTAGTATAGATGGGGTTTCACCATATTGGCCAGGCTGGTCTTGAACTCCTGACATTATGTCTTAAAGTGCTAACTCTGTTCACTGCACATAACCTCATATGTTCCTAGATGAGACCACTGAAATAGAAAGTGAAAGTCTATCCAATTCTTCCATCTCATTTTAATAAGTCTTAGTAATAACTACTTGTATTTTGAATAAAGAAATGAAAAATCCAGGACAAAATAAACCAGACAGGATGCAGGGTGATAGGCATACACTGAGACTTCTAGGCAAGTGAGCAACTGGTCAGCCGAATTAAAGCCCTTGGAGGGGTTCCTGTACCCTAGGTTCTTAATACATGCTTGTTGAATGAACAATCGGAGGTAGCTTATTTGTTTGAATAAGGCTTTCTGTGTGTTACTGCAAAGGAATGAGGATGGGACAGGTTTAGGCTTTGTAACAAGACCTCCCAAAGGCTAACACATAGGCGGCTGCTTCCTCGGCAAGCAGAGATGACGCTTGTGGCCCTTTTTGAAACACCTTTTTTACATGCCAGAGGTATTTAACTTGACCGTACCAAATGGTACGGTCAAGTTAAAAGGGTTATCCGCCCTTTTAACTCAAATATCCCGTTGGGATCAAACATTTTTGCTCTGGAGACCTTTGTACCTGTGCAGCATCAGTATAAGGATAGCCTGGGGGTGGTAACCCAGACACAGCTAACAGCGGGGTCTGAGTGGCTTGGCCAGAGTCTTGGCCTCAAATTGAGGGCACAGCAGTGGTTCTGACTGTTCCTCTTCGGGGAACGTTGTACATCAGGAGGGGCCTGATGGTAATGTTGGTGTAAAATGTCTCTGCTGTGATCCACCCTTGAAGACTGTGAGCTGTGCAGAACGAAGCAGGTCATGGCTTGTCCTCTAGGATGTGATGGGAGGCTGAAAGCATCTCTCTGCTGTGACGTAGGAGGGACCGTGAGCCTTATGCTAGGCACTCCTTCCAGCCCAAGGCAGCATCGTCTGCTTTGGTTTTCTTTCTTTCTTTTTTTGAAACACTCTGCCCAGGCTGGAGTGCAGTGGCACGATCTCGGCTCACTGCAGCCTTAACCTCCTGGGCTCAAGCTATCCTCCTGACTCAGCCTCCCAAGTAGCTGGGACAACAGGCGTGTGCCACCATGCCCGGCTACTTTTTTAAATATTTTTAATAGAGATGGGGTTTCGCCATGTGTCCCAGGCTGGTCTCAAACTCCTGGATTCAGACAATCTGCCTGCCTCGGCCTCCCAAAGTGCTGGGATTACAGGCGTGAGCCACCGTGCCTGGCCTGCTTTGGTTTTATTCTGACTGTGGCTCCTAGGAAGAAAAAGAAAAGATGATGCTTTGGAAGCTGTAGGGTTGGGAAGCTGGAGACTTCTTGTGATGGAGAGGTACACCCAGTAGATACTTATTTAAATACTTATAGAAAGACGACTTTATGCCGGACACTGTGTTAGGTCCTGGCTATACAGGAAGAAGAGAAGTGGCATCTGCCCATCCTACGCAGTTCTCCAGGAAGGAGGTGGCAGGAGTGACATTTGGGCCATCCAGGCAACTCACCAAGTCCCTTCGCAGCACTCCTGAAAAGCTCTGAGATGTTTTGAAGCTAAAACAGACAAACAAAAGGGACCAAAGAGGTGGCATGAGTAGCATGAGTCAGATGTGATTAATTCCTAATTCCTTAGCTGCTTCTGTTTGTTTGTTTTGTTTTGTGTTTTTGAGATGGAGTCTCACTCTGTCACCCAGGCTGGAGTGCAGTGCAGTGGCGCAATCTCAGCTCACTGCAACTTCCACCTCCCAGGTTCAAGCGATTCTCCTGCCTCAGCCTCCCAGGTAACTGGGATTACAGGCACACGCCACCACGCTTGGCTAATTTTTGTATTTTTAGTAGAGACGGGGTTTCACCATGTTGGTCAGGCTGGTCTTAAACTCCTGACCTCAAGTGATCAGCCTGCCTCGGCCTCCCAAAGTGCTGGGTTTACAGATGTGAGCCACCAAGCCCGGCCCCCTATTTCCTTATCTTCTTATCCGCAGCAGGACTTTGAGAAACGGCTCAGTTAGGGTCTTGCAGGGATAACAGTGATTAGAGCCTGAACACAAACTACATTTATCCCATGTCAGAAATGAATAGCTTATCAAACGTACCAACTTAAAAGATGCAAGAATTGTGCAACAATAGCTACCTTCTTTTCAAACAAAATAAACATCACTAAAAAACTCTAATCTTAATTCTTTTTCAAGAAATGGATAATTCCTCCACATCATTCTCCTTTAAAATTTTGTAGATTCTCCCTTAAGTTACTTAATGTATGAGTTGTGGCTTCTGTGTAACGTCTTTTCTCAGGCTTGTATTGGTAATGGAAAGCATTCTTCAGCTTAATTTCCTTTTAATTCCTTCCAATTACTATGCACTGTTCTTTGTGCCAAGTGCCAGTCCAGTTATCCAGTTGGTGCATTTTGTGAGAACTGTAGGATCATGGAGATCATGTTTCTTTTCTTTTCTTTTCTTTTCTTTTTTTGAGACAGCGTCTTGCTCTGTCACCAGGCTGGAGTGCAGTGGCACAATCTTGGCTTACCGCAACCTCTGCTTCCTGGGTTCAAGTGATTCTTCTGCCTCAGCCTCCCAAGTAGCTGGGATTACAGGCACGCACCACCATGCCTGGCTAATTTTTTGTAGTTTTAGTAGAGATGGGGTTTCGCCATGTTGGCCAGGCTGGTCGCGAACTCCCGACCTCAGGTGATCCGCCTGCCTCAGATCACCCAAAGTGCTGGGATTACAGGCATGAGCCACTGTGCCTGGCCAGGATCATGTTTCTTTAAACCACACATGATACCCAGAAGGCATCATAATAGAGTTGGCTTCATCATCTTCCTTATCATAGGTTATGCTTGATTTCAAAAGAAATTTGTTCCTCGACAATACACAGAAAATGCACTTAACAATAGCCCCTGAAGTTTTCCCCAGCCAATGACTGGTTAGCAGTCTAATAAGGATCATATTGGACAAGTATCTTTAACACAAAACAGCACAGGGAATCATGGGCCACTCTCATCGTTAGGCTCTCTTCACAGGTATAGCCTATGTTAGAAGGCTTCTGAACCACAGATGCTAAAGAAAAATTAGTTAAACTGAAGACTGATGAAGTATTCCCTACAAATGAAAAGGCAATCTTATATGACAAAGGACACTATCAGGAGGTTGAAAAACAACCTATAGAATGGGAGAAAATATTTGTAAATCATATGTCTATGATTAATATCCAGAATATATAAAGAACTCCTGTAAGTCAACAACCATCACCACACCCAGTTCACAAATGGGCAGAGGAATCTTATGGACATTTCTCCAGCGGAGATATATGCACAGCCAAGGAGCACGTGAAAAGATACTCAGCATCATTAGTTGCTAGAGAAATGCAAAGCAAACCCCAAGAAGGTACCACTTCCTAGCCAGCAGGATGTAGCTATTAAAACAACAACAGAAAATCAGTGTTGGCAAGGGTGTGGAGGAATTGCAGTCCGTGTGCGTTGCTGGTGGGAATGTAAAATGGCATAGTCATTGTGGAAAGGAGTGTGGCAGTTCCTCCAAGAGTCGCATATAGAATTGTCACATGGTCCAGCAATTCCATTCCTAGGTTACCCAAAAGAATGGAAAGCAGGGGAGCTGGAGGCCATTATGCTAAGTGAAGTAACTCAGGAAGGGAAAGCCACATTCCTATGTTCTCAGGTATAAGTGGGAGCTAAGCTGAGGGTCCACAAAGGCAGAGTGGAGGAATGGACATTGGAGACTCCGAAGGGGAAAGGAGATGGAGGATTAAAACGCTACATTTTGGGTACAACATATACTACTTCGGTGACAGGTGCACCACAATCTCAGACCTCACCACTATACAGTTCATCCACGTAACCAAAAACCACTTGGACCCCTAAAGCTATTAAATAAAATAAATAAATATAAACATTCAGTAACATTATCTTTAGAAGAACACTTTTTAATAAACCTGGGCATGAAGAAAAAAGGCTGAATAATATTCCATCGTATGCGTGTGTATATCCATATATATATATATATATATATATATGCACACACACACACAATGTATATGTCTAGTGTTACCAACTTAGTTTCCTTTCCTTCAATATTAAACGTCTCATATTTCCCCCAGACTTTTTGAGAGATAGTTGAGAAATAAAGCTGTGTAAGTTTAGAGTGTAGTATGTGATGATTTGATATATATTGTGAAATTATTAACACAAGTTAGGTGACACACCTGTCACCTGTCCTAGTTATCATTTTTTTTTTGTATTGTAGTGAAATAAATGTCTCATTTAAAAAAAAAGAATTGAAAGCAGGAAATGAAACAGATACTTGAATACCAATGCTCATAGTAGCATTAAGCATAATAGCCAAGAGGTAGGAACAACCCAATTGTTCATCCACAAATGAGGAGAGAAAATGTGGTATGTAAATATAATGGAATATACGTTTCATGGAAAAGAATGTATCTTTCAATTTTTAATTTTTGTGGGTACATAGTAGGTGAATATATCTATGGGATCCATGAGATGTTGGGATACAGACATGCAATGTGAAATAAGCACGTCATGGAGAATGGGGTATCCATCCCCTCAAGCATTTATCCTTTGAGTTACAAACAATTCAATTACACTCTTTTAGGTACTTAAAAACGTACAATTAAGTTGTTATAGTCACCCTGTTGTACTTTCAAATACTAGATCTTATTCTTTCAAAAATTGGTTGAACCTATTAACCATCCCCACATCCCCCATACTCTCCCAATACCTTTCCCAGCCTCTGGTAACCATCCTTCTACTCTCTATGCCCATGAGTTCAATTGCTTTGATTTTTAGGTCTCACAAACAAGTGAGAACATGTGATGTTTGTCTTTCTGTTCCTGGCTTATTTCACAAAATGATCTCCATTTCCATCCATGATGTTGCAAACAACAGGATCTCATTCTTTTCCATGGCTGAATAGTACTCCATTGTGTATATATACCACATTTTCTTTATCCATTCACCTGTTGATGGACATTTAGGTTGCTTCCAAATCTAATGGAATATATTATTCACTCATAAAAAGTGTGAAATTCTGATACATGCTGTTAATATAACACGGATGTACCTTGCAAGCATGTTGAGTAACATAAGCCACACCCCAAAGGACAAATATTGTATGATTCCACTTATACAAGGTACCTGGCACAGGCAAATTCATAGAGACACAAAGTAGAATGGTGGTTACCGGGGGCCGGGGGAGTAGGGAGTGGGGAGTTGTTACTTAATGGGTAGAGTTTGTTTGTTTGGGAAGGTTCTGGAGATAAAGGATGTGATGGTTGCACAACAATGTGAACGGGCGCAATGCCACTAAACTGTGCGCTTAGTTGCAAGGTTACAATAGGACATTTTATGTATATTTCACCACAATAAAAATAGGAAAAGGCAGGTGATTTCTAAGGACACAAGTCCCTTGGGGTTGCTAGTTCTGTCAGACTTTTCCCCTTGTTTTTCTGAATGACAAGGATTAGTAGTGGATAATAATGAGTGGATTCATGGATTTGAGCAGGACATGAAAGAATTTCCATAGACAGAGATGAAAGGGCATTTCTGACTTGAAACCTGGGATGAGCACCGATGCAGGAGAGGCACGAAAGCTCACAGCGTGTTCAGGGCGTAGTGAATAGAGGGGTGCGTGCCCCGAGCCTGCAGAGCGGGCAGGGATGTGTAGGAAGGCACCTTCATCCTCCTCACTCAGCCTCCCAGCTCCAGGTCCAAAGCCGCCAAATCATCTTTCTTGTCACCATCACATGATAAGGGGGAGTCCTTCCAGACTGCCAGTCAATGAAGTAACACACACAGCCACGGTCATGCCAGTCTGAGCCCATCGGGCGAGCCCTGAGGGGAATAACAGTCTTGGTGGCATTGGGCAAGCCCCGAGGACTCCATCTCGGGGAATAACAGTCTTGGTGGCATCGGCGCTTCACCAGGCCTCCTGGAACCATATTCGGGATCCCCAACTGAGTGCTGGAAAGACCACTGGTCAGGAGCAGGGAGCAGGGGTGGAAGGAGGTGGCTCGTCCTGACCTTGACAATGAGAATCCTGTTTTAAGCTTCACGCTGCTGACTAAACAGAAAGGCCACGGCACAGGGACAGACGTGCGCATGAAATCACAGGAAGAAAGACATTTCACGAACAAATGCATCCTCCCAAACCAGTCTGAATCCCTCCGGACAGGGTGATGTTACCACGCAACTGGCCTGGCCTAATGAGCTGGTTTCTGTCATCCCTCCTGGAAGGTTACCCTGTAACACAAGGCGTGCCCACTGACATGCAGCCTGATGGAGCAAGGTTACACCTGTCTGCCTTTTGTGTGCACAAGATCAGAACACAGTCAAGTGAATACAAATGCAACAGCTGCTTGGGGCTCAAACTTGCATAGTCTATTTTATTTGGATAGAGAGCATAAAATTGGCTCTACCAAAGTCTGGAGGCTGGAAGTAATCATAATTGTAATCTAGTATAATTACCAAGCCTAGACCTTTACCTAGTCCTATTTAACCTCCCTTTCACCTTTCCAAGGAATGTGGAGGGATAAGAGAGTCACTGAATAAGTTGGTTGGTAATACTGTATTGTATCTCTCAAATCCATTGTTTTTTTTTAAAGAATGAGATCAATAAATATAAATTCCAATATTTTCTTCCCCAAAGCACCATCTTGTACCGCTTTGGAGAACATTAGAGGGACTCACCTGGGTTTCCAGAGCTGGAAAACATAAGCCCCATAATGTACCCAGTCCCCACGGCGCGCTGCCATCTTAGGCCCAGTCCCCACTGCACGCTGTCATCTTAGGCCCAGTCCCCGCTGGGCGCTGCCATCTTAGGCCCAGTCCCCGCTGGGCGCTGCCATCTTAGGCCCAGTCCCCGCTGCGCGCTGCCATCTTAGGCCCAGTCCCCGCTGCGTGCTGCCATCTTAGGCCCAGTCCCCGCTGCGCGCTGCCATCTTGGGCCCAGTCCCCGAGGCCCAGTCCCCACTGCGCGCTGCCATCTTAGGCCCAGTCCCCGCTGGGCGCTGCCATCTTAGGCCCAGTCCCCGCTGCGCGCTGCCATCTTAGGCCCAGTCCCCGCTGCGCGCTGCCATCTTAGGCCCAGTCCCCGCTGCGCGCTGCCATCTTAGGCCCAGTCCCCGCTGCGCGCTGCCATCTTAGGGTTTTGCTTAGGGGGCAGATAGAAAATAGTAAATGAAACCCTTTCAGATATTTCCTGGCCTTATTTAGTAAACACGTCTTTTTGAAAGAACTCTGAATACACCTGCAGATTTTTCAAAGCCCAGATTCTACACACTTCTAATGTCAACCTTGAAGGGAGATCGTAGATTGAATTACAGAAAGGGGTGCTGTCAAAATGCCACATCAAATATAAACTTCACATATGTTTCTTACCTGAAACACTCACTCACACTCATGGAAAAGCACAGGAATGTTCTAAAAATGCAAGTTTATCACGAAGGAGACACAGGAGGTTCAGAGACGATGAAGCGGCAAGCCGGGAGGAAAGATCTGAGAGAAGCCACCAGGCTGGGGCAGCATTTCATTATATCCAGAATTCCACTTGGGCTCTGCAGTTTCTTTCTTCCTGAGAATTATTTAAAAGTCCCTGGGGAAGGACAAGAGTAAGAAAAAATCAAGGGAGAGCCTCTGGGTTACTATGACAACATGACTCTTGACCCCTTCTCTCTCACCCAGCAGTGCCTAAGTCCCTTTTGCATTGCTGCAGAGATCTCTGGCACTGTGATTAGCACATACTCCTAAACCTGAGGATGATTTAAAGTGGAAGGAGATCAAAGTTTCTAAATAGTACAATGAGCTCATCTTGACTCAAAAGATGTGTAATGGTTATAATGCAACATAACTGAGATGTTTCCTTATCCCCCCCACCAGTAAAGCTGGTCACAGACCGTTGCAAAGGCTCTGTGAAAAATGACAGGTCTATGGAAATGTCTACTGCAAAGCACTGATAACTCAGGATAATGATTCAGGCCAAAAAAAAATTTAAAAGGAAGTGAAACTTCAGACAATGTGAAACATGTCAGAGTCGTGTTTGCATTCTAAATTGCAGTAATGATATAAACATCATTATTCCTAATCTGATCCTGCAGGTGGATCAAATACGCACACATCTATTAAAGAACAGTCTGCATGCTCAGTAAGTGCACAGGGTCTTATTACCGAATCTTTCAGCACATCTTCGTTTCATCTTTAACTTCATTAGAATATGTAAGTTTTGGCAGTCTATTGATTCAGGAGAAATCTATGGATCTATTATTTTCTATTTGTCTATAAAGTCCACTAATTCACCTTCTAAGTTGTTGTTTTGGGTTTTCATCAAAGTGATGACATTCCAACTCCTGATTATGCTACATTGAATAAAAATAAATGTAGGATTTTCTCCTTTCTGACCTAGAGCTAATAAGTTGTACATATTGGCTGAGTTACTGCAAAGAAAGGGCAAAATGAAAACACAGCTCTTATAGTCAAGGTTCTTAGGATCTTATTGAGATGAGCTCCTCAGAATCAGCCAAACTTCAAACATGGAGAGCACGGCCCCCAGTCTGCCAAGTCGGCCCAAGACTACTGACACCTACTGCAAGCAATTAGGGTCCAACTACAAAGTTAGCAGAAAGAGCCCACCCAAGACCACTGTCACGTGTGACAACTGCATGTTTGGAGGGTTCCCAAAACGACCCTCAGGCTCGTAATTCTCTAGAGGGACTCACAGAATTCACGGAAAATACTCATGGCTACAATTTAATATGTTGGAAAGGAGACAGATTAAAATCAGCCAAAGGAAGAGACACATGGGGCAGAATCTAGGACGGTTTCAAAAGGGACGCTTCCATTGTCATCAGGACACATTACATTACCTTCCCGGCATCCGTGTGTGATGGTACACGTGGAGCACTGCCAACCCAGGATGCTCACCTGAGCCTTGTATCCAGAGTTGTTACTGTGGTTTCATTACATTGGCATGATTGATTGATTGATTTCCCATGTGGTCTAACTCAGTCTCCAGGTGGACTGGTACTGTGTGACCCCAAAGCCCCTGCCCTAAATCACATGGTTGATCCTTCTCTTGCAACCAGCTTGGACCATATGACTATCAGGTATGGCCCATCCTACCCTAAGATCTTATGTGGCCAACCCTCACCATAACAAAGGCACTCCCAGTGAGTATGATGTAGTTTACCTCCCAGAAGCTCATGGAAAAGGCCACATCTATCTTTGGGAAAGGTCAAATTTTTTACTACCCAAGCCTGACCTGAGAAGTGCTAAATTGTGAGGGTGGAAAGGGGCTAGTGTGAGCTTGGATGAACGAAGTATCTGAAGAGCAATGGAAGGAACATGGAATGTTCTTAAACAACAGAACATTTTTAGGACCATAGAGTATTGGAGTTGAAAGAATTTGGGAGATTATTGCATTTCTTAATAAGAGCACTGCCATGCAGAAGTGGCCTTGTCTTGGTAACATGATAGAAGCACATGATAACTGTCTTTAAAGTGTGAGGGGCCCATGTGAGCAACAGGGTTTATTTTTACCCCATATAATCCTAGAGAACAAAGCCAGTGGCCATGGGTTAGAAGTTATTAAAAAGAAGATTTAAGTTTAATAGAAGAAAGAGCTTTCTAATAATTGAGGCTATTCAGAATATTACACAGGCTGTACTGGGAGATGGTAAGTTCTCCCAAGTTAAAAATATTCAAGCAGAAAGCAGATCACCTGTTACCATGGCAGTGCTTTTATTAGGAAATGCAATAATCTCCCAAATTCTTTCAAGTCTAATACTCTGTGGCCCTAAAAAGAGTTTTCAATCTTGACAGAATTGTATTCTGGAATTAGTGGACTATTTCTTTCATAAGTCATTATGTGAATTACCTTGAAAATTTCTAATATCGTACCTGAGTGCCATGGCCTTGGCATGAATATACACTTCCTGAGCAGAACTTAAGAATGAGAATATCTGGAGTAATTCAGGTTCTGCTAATTCTGCATGGTTGTCACTGCGATGATGTTCATTGTTCTAGGTAAGAAGGATAAATGAGTAATAAAAGTTTCATGGGACACATATAAGTGAACTCATGTTTTATATCCACTTCAGTCATTCATTGCAAGCGAGTCTTGTTCAATGAGATCAAAGCAGATTGGTTAGGATTTTGACTTGAAACCTTCTGTTATTTATAAATTGGAGTTACATCATATATTTCTTCTAAAAGATTCTATTGAGACTGTTTGCTGTCTACAGCTGGTCTTTCTCCAGAAGTAGGTTGAATTGCCATGAATTTTATCTTATTCAGATAAATAGAATGCTGGTATCTAGGATCCAATAGATTCATGTGGCCCAAATTTCATCCAGACTTCATCCTCCTCTGTGTACAGTGGCAACTATTAAAATCATAACAGAGACTTGTTGGCTCCAGCCCATACTTGCAATGTAAAACCTCCACTTGGTGCAAACTCTTTCCATCCAGTATTTTCTGATGTCCCTGAGGGCTCTCATGAATGCTCATCACACGTCTCCTCCTGGAAACAACTGCTGCTTCACCAAGAATCGCAGGCCCCACGGGGAACCATCACTTCTCTCCTGCCTGTCACTGGGCACAGCCACCAACATTCCAGAGCCATCATGGTGCCAGCCCCAAATGACCAGGATGGTGTCGGGAAGAACGCGTCTCTCCCACGCATTATCCTGCCTCAGAGGCATCTCAAATGATGCTGCTTGCACCTCAGGGTTCTACAGTGTTTCATAAAAAGAGATCGATGAGCAAATAAATAGATTAACTTCATGTACTCTTAATAGTTCAAGACCTCTGCCAACCAGCGGTCTCAGGATAAGCAAGACATGACCTCATAATAGGAGGTGTGCTGGTTGGATCACAAAGGCTGGTCCTTCAGCCAGAGTGGGTGGTTCTCTGCAGGGACCTCTTCTAAGCTCTCCTTGATGAGACAACTAATCATCGTGTACACTGCCGAATGACAGTGTTTGCAGAACCTCTAGCATGCATGCTGGCCTCGGCTATCTCTGCCAATACTTTATTACACAAGCCAGAGTCACCTTCATCGGAAGACTTGAGAACTTGGCTTCTCTATCCCACGAATGTTATGCAGTCATCTTCCCAGCATCCTGCAGGACAGACCTGCTTATGCCATTTGCAGTACAAACAAAGTACTATCTATCTGAAATTGAGCAGCAAGTACTTTAACTTCACGTACCTCTCCTTCTGAAAATGCCATCAGGATAGCTCAGCCCATACCAAGCTTCTGGTACTTCTCTAGTACCCCAAAGCAAGTAATTCATGCCCTAAGGCATTAGCATCCTTGAAGGGAATGTTGCCAAGACAAGGCCACTTCTGCAGAGCAGATACCTTCCCCAGAGGGGAGGCGTCCAAAGTCTTGCCTCAAACGTAGGAATGTTCAGGAAGCAGTCATGGACAGCGAGATCATCAAGTCCCTTAGGAATAAGTAAACTCAAATAAAATAAAAATAAAGTGATTTTCCCTTTTGGAGGTATGTGTTTCAGTCTGGCGCAACTCAACACTGTCAGAAATAATAAAGACACTTACTTGAGACCTAGGAGACCCTTTGGGGCAGAATTGCCCTCAGCAGAGCTGGTGATGGTTTCCCTTGAGAACAGCCTTTCCCATGAGGGATAAGGAACTGCGGAGATGCTGCTCACCTTGGCCAGGAGCATTGGGCCAGGGATGATGGCTTGGGACCCTGGTCCCTGGCATCTCAGGCTGGTCTCCAAGGGTCACTGGTGACCTTTCAGGGGACAAAAGAAAAGGATCTTCACAGATAGTTGGCTGTAAATAGGAAGGAGGCAGGGTCAGTGGTGAGGAGGATATTTGAACAGTCAGCGTGTATTTCAAAGCCGTGGTTCTGTCCCCCTCTGGTGTTGCTTCCTTCTCCTCTTCACTCTGCAGCCGCCTCTTGGTGGTCAGAGGGTGAATGCAGGGCCCTGGGGTTTGGGGCCTAGGGCTGGGAGATCAGAGCTCTTGGAGCTGGCTTGATACCTGGCAATCCTCATCCAGCATCTCCATCTCTCTACGACGCGTTCTGGCACGTTGCAGGTGAAGTGGGTAGAGCGTGGGATGGTTACTGGAATCGATGTAGTTCCAGGGTGCTGTCCTTAAGAGTGCGAGTGGTACCAGTCAGTGTTCTCGGCATTTAAATATTAGTTGTTGTTATCTTGGCTATCTCATGCGTGTAAGAATTCTGTGTGTGTAGTTTCCATCCTTAAATTCAACCAAGGTATTACTGTAAAAAAAAGCAAGACAGGCCTGGCACAGTGGCTCACGCCTGTAATCCCAGCACTTTGGGAGGCCAAGGAGGGAGGATCACGAGGTCAGGAGATTGAGACCATCGTGGCCAACATGGTGAAATCCCGTCTCTACTAAAAAATACAAAAAATTGCTGGGCGTGGTGGTGCATGCCTGTAGTTCCAGCTACTCAGGAGGCTGAGGCAGGGGAATCGCTTGAACCCAGGAGGCGGAGGTTGCCGTGAGCTGAGATCACACTACTGCACTCCAGCCCGGGTGACAGGGCAAGACTTCGTCTCAAAAAAGAAAAAAAAAAAAGCAAGACAAAAACTCTCTCCCTTTTCTAGAAAAGAGCATGCCTGTGCGTATGGCTGGCTGTGTGCCTACAGTTCATGTGCCTGTTTCCGTTTTTGCTGCTCAAAGCCATGGATTGGTGTGTAGTCAGGACCTGCATTCTCTGCTTGGTGGTTCAGTGTCTGGGATGATACTGTTTCCCGGTTACTCTAGAGCAGAGGTCAACAAACTTCTTATGCAAAGGAGCAGGTAGCGAGCATTTTTGGCTTTGTGGGCGACACAGGCTCTGTTACAACCACTCAACTCTTATTGTAGCACAAAAGTAGCCACAGACACTATGTAAACAAATAGATGTGGCTGTGTTTTAATAAAACTTTATTTACAAAAGCAGGCAGTGTGCCAGCTTGGGCCTGCAGGACCCTGGTTGGTCAGCCCTGTGCCTGAGTGATAACATGCTCTTTCATGCCTTTAAAAATGATTATTAAAGTGTGTTCATTATCCTGTTCTTTTTGTCCTTTTTCTTGTTTAATAAGTGTTCACTGATTTTAAAAAGACATTTTTCTAAAAATCTGGGGGTTTTTTGTGTTTTTTTTGTGTGTGTTTTTTTTTTTTTTTTTTTTTTTTTTTTTGACACAAGGTCTTGCTCTGTCACCCAGGCTGGAGTGCAGTGGCGCAATCTCGGCTCACTGCAACCTCTGCCTCCTGGGTTCAGGTGATTCTCCTGCCTCGGCCTCCTGAGAAGCTGGGATTATAGGCGCGCGCCACCATGCCCAGATAATTTTTGTATTTTTAGTAGAGATGGGGTTTCACCATGTTGGCCAGGCTGGTCTCAAACTCCCGATCTCAGGTGATCTGCCCGCCTCAGCCTCTCAAAGTGTGGGGATTACAGGCGTGAGCCACGGTGCCCAGCATAAATTTATTTTCAAAGGCAAGTGTGGTCAGTGTAGGCAGGGAGTGAAACATGTATGCGTAAACACAACTACTTGAAAGAGCGGTGCGGTCCTTCCTCAGGCCCCCGTCAGCTCTGCTCCATCCCCAGTCCCTTCCTGTGCCTGCCCAACCTGTCCTCCATAGCCAGGGCCCCCCAACCCAAACCCCTCCAGGCACCACCTCCCTCCATCCCTCCCGCCTGGCTCTGGGGAGGGGGTGGCCAGCGGCCCTGCACGCTTCTTCCTCTTTTCTCTTCCTCTCTCTTCAGACTTGATGCAAAGAGTGGGCTAAGTCTGTGCTGACTGTTGCCCTGGAAACTCTTTTGAACCTTTCTCTTTCCCTCCAAAGATTCCGAGTTCCTCCTACAGTTTGCAGCCTTCAGTACCCTGCCCCTTCCCTCCCCTGCCCTCCCTTACTTGGTTGTCTTTATTCCAAGTTAAATGATCATCATGAGGTTGGGAAAGCCGCAGCTTTCTATGCACCATGTTTTACTCCCCAAAGGACATCTTTTAGAGTCCGCAGAGGCCCACATGAAGGGCTCACCAGCAGCTCTACCGGTTTGCTTTCCACAAGGAGAGCTAAAATGCCGGTTGCTAAGCAGCATACATGCCGCTGCTTCTTTCCACAATGTAGACTTAAAAAAATCGCCGTAAACATTTTACCATATGATTGAGTCAGGTGTGGGGAGTCGCAGTAAACATTTTACCATGTGATTGAGTCATGGGTGGGGAGTCGCGGAAATACACAGGGCAGGCAGTTCGCTATCACGATGTTCTCTCTCAATTCTGTCTTTGGTCTGTCTTCCTGGGTAATGTCACATGGAGACCCAGGGGATCTGCCGTCAGCTGTGTGCAGTGGGTTAACAAGACGACGGGGAACTTCAGAGTGCAGGCAGTCCTCATCTTTTGCAGATTCTGTATTTGCACATTCACCTACTCACTGAAATGCATTTGTAACCCCAAAATCAATACAGCGGTTTCACAGTCATTCTCCGACACGGGCAGAGGGGTGAAGATACTGAGTCGCCAGATGCACGCGTTCCCCGCCGAGGTGGAGCGTGCAAAGCTCTGCCTTCACGTTTGGCTCTCATATCGTGCACATGTGTCCTTTTTGCAGTCTCCTTAGCACTGTGTTTTTCATATTTTTGTGCTTTCTGATGGTTATTTTGCTGTAAACGGCCCCCAAGAATGGTGCTGATGTCCTATTTAGGGTCCCTAAGCACAGGAAGGCTGTGATGTGCCTTATGGAGAAAATCCATGTGTTAGACACACTTCTTTCAGGTAGGAGCTACAGTGCTCATGGGGGTCTAGTGTTAATGAATCAAGAATACACACACCCAGAAAAAGGAAGAGGAAGCGCACAGGGCAGCCAGCTTGATGTCACCACGTTACATCCTTTTATCCGGTCTTTGGTAAGTTTTCTTTTCTTTTTTTTTTTTTTGAGACAGAGTCTCGCTCTGTCGCCCAGGCTGAAGTGCAGTGGCGCGATCACGGCTCACTGCAAGCTCCACCCCCCGGGTTCACGCCATTCTCCTGCCTCAGCCTCCTGAGTAGCTGGGAATACAGGTGCCCGCCACCACGCCCAGCTAATTTTTTGTATTTTTGGTAGAGATGGGGTTTCACCGTGTTAGCCAGGATGTTCTTGATCTCCTGACCTCATGATCCACCCACCTCGGCCTCCCAAAGTGCTGGGATTACAGGCATGAGCCACCGCGCCCGGCCGGTCTTTGGTATGTTTTCTTGGGGACTTACACAGGGTCACGTGGAGATACAGGGGGATGCGCCTTCGGCCCATCTGTATGTGGGGCCACTCTGGAAAGTGCTAAGGTAACAGCTATAGTACATGAGGAAGCCATGGAAGAGATGAAAAGTGGCTGAATGTGTGGATTCATCAGATGATGAGAACATTTAATGTAATAGATAGCATTGGTGTGAGGCTAGACACCAAAGAAATGTACAATCATGTTACCCAAGGGAAGGAAAGTATTAAACCCTTCTTGGCTAGTGTTTTATTTTAAAGAAATACCAAATATAATTCATTATTTTGAAGAAACGTATTAAATAAAGCATCTTATTAACAAGGTTACGTATTGACCAGTTGAAGAAACTTTTGTCATCAGAGGTTCACAGAAACCTAAACCATACGTTAGGTTGGTGCAAAAGTAATTGAAATGGGCCAGATGCAGTGGCTCACACCTGTAATCCCAGCACTTTGGGAGGCCGAGGCGGGCGGATCGCCTGAGGTCAGGAGTTTGAGACTAGACTGGCCAACATGGGTGAAACCCCGTCTCTACTAAAAATACAAAAAATTAGCTGGGTGTGGTGGCGCGTGCCTGTAGTCCCAGCTACTCCGGAGGCTGAGGCGGGAGAATCCCCTGAACCTGGGAGGCGGAGATTGCAGTGAGCCGAGATCGTGCCGTTGCACTCCAGCCTGGGCAACAGAGCAAGAGTCTGTCTTAGGAAAAAAAGAAAGAAAAAAAAAGTCATCGAAATGACAGAAACCGTAATTACTTTTGCACCAAACTGTATTTCCCCTAAGAACAATGGCCCAGTATTTACAAATTCAGTGTTCACAAATATTTTATAGAACACAGCTACCATGAATAACAAGAGCTGACTGTATATGATCACAACCTAACTGAGCAGAACTCACCCTCCACTACTCATGTAAGACCTGACTGTATATGATCACAACCTAACTGAGCAGAACTCACCCTCCACTACTCATGTAAGACCTGACTGTATATGATCACAACCTAACTGAGCAGAACTCACCCTCCACTACTCATGTAAGACCTGACTGTATATGATCACAACCTAACTGAGCAGAACTCACCCTCCACTACTCATGTAAGACCTGACTGTATATGATCACAACCTAACTGAGCAGAACTCACCCTCCACTACTCATGTAAGACCTGACTGTATATGATCACAACCTAACTGAGCAGAACTCACCCTCCACTGCGCATATTGAAGACAGAGCCCAAGACGCATCCAGGTGCAACGTCTCTGCTAAGAATGTGTGCCAGGAATGGGGCCTGGCTTCCTCGTCGAGTGCGGCTGTCCGTGGGTTTCTGCTAGACAGATAACGTTCTGAAGGAGTTAAACTTTCACAGCTCCTCCTCCTCCTCCTCCTCCTCTATATCCCTTACCTCGCCACGTTCATCACTGGTCATTTTGCTGGAAGGGAAGCCCTGGTATATTCTTACATTGCTCTGGAAGTGAGCTTTAGCCCAGCGTCGCCAAACTTACACCTTAATTGATCCCAGATGAGAAGGAAAAGCTATTGCTCTTACCCCACAGTCTTCCCTCCCTGAGGCCAGAAGCAGGTCACGTGTAAAATGGTCTGCTCTCTGCTGACAGTGGCCTGAGTCTCCCATAGTGTCTGCTGAGCTGGATAGTCCCTCTCCAGGGAGCTTTGCAGGGGATGGGTGATGAGACATGGACATGGGGACGAATTCCTCTCATCTGGAATCGCAGACACAGCATGGAGATATGAGCACGCGGCATGGGAAATAGGCTTCCTCAGCCCTTCAGGATCAGGGAACGTGCCAGAGATGCAATGACATTTGGCAGCAGTTGAGAGTATGAGTGCTGTTGATGAAATAAACAGAGGCCTTTAAAAGCAAGGCAGGAAAAATGCTGGGACGAGTACAGGAACAGAAAACCAGCCATTTCTCCAGGTCTATTCAAAGACGTAGCAACACTCCCTGCAAACCCCAGGGCCTCATTATCACCACTCAGGGCAGTGGCCCCGCACAGCACCTGCACAGTTGCCAGAGGAGGCCTCTCTATAGGAAGTGCTGCTTTCTGTTGTGGATAGAGTGACTGGCTGGGCCTCTCTCTGTGTTTCTCCCCTAGTCTTCAGGAATATGAATGCCTTTTCCTTCAGTGCTACTAGGTGCAAATATGCGAGTTAAGGGACAATGCCAATAAAGTAGCCGCAGTTTCCTGGCTAAAGGAACTGTGCAGGTATTAAAAACCCACCGATCTTTAATCCAGGTTCGTGGCAGGGGGACTCCTTTTTGTTGCAAGATTGTCTGTGTGTGGAAACCCTGGAGAAAGGCCACACGTGCAGTCAGCAAGCCGAGTCACCAGGCACAGAGCCCTTTCTCCTGATCCCCTCCTCTTGTTTCTATTCCCAGGCCTCATTATGTATAATGTCACAGACACACACGCCCAGGAACATCCCATCACAGCCAGGACAGAAGCGCCAAGGGAGGTGCTTTGCACAGATTCCATCTTGGAGTTAGAAGCACTTGCTCGGTGCTTGCCAACTACAAATAGCCCCATGCTGGAAAATGATGCTAATTAGTATGCCATTAAAAAGGGTGGGGGGACCACCACCCACAACAAAATGGCCGTGTGCAGGCCTGAAGCCCTGCCCTGAGGGCCACAGGGAAGCATGGCCGCTAATGCAGCCTAATTCACTTTGTTTGGCAGAGAGAGCAAGCTCGCCATGTTGCTGCGGGAGTCTCTGGGGAACATGAACTGCCGTACCACCATGATCGCGCACATCTCGGCCGCGGTCGGGAGCTACGCGGAGACCCTGTCCACCATCCAGATTGCATCGAGAGTCTTGAGGATGAAGAAAAAGAAGACGAAGGTAAGGAGCTCGCGGGGTGGGGGGGTGGTGGATGAGGGAGCCTTTGGAGCCGTGCCCTGGAACAGAGTCAGAAAAAGCCAAATCAACGTTGCCAATCCCCCAGCATCAGGAGATGTGACTTGGAGCTGACAACACGTGGCTCAGGGTCCACTTTGGGGCAGGGAAACCTTGGGGCTGATACAAAGTCATGTCACCTCCCCACACCTGGTGCTGGCCCTGGTCACCCAGCCTGGACCCCTGACCGGAAGCACTTGGTCCGCTTTAGAGAGTACAAATGGATTGCTACCTCAAGAGGAAAAACGTTGGAGGGATGGAAAATATTGTTTTTCTCATGCATGGCCTCGGTCCTGCGTAGGTGGAGACTGTGTCCTTCGAAGGCTTGGCACCAAAGAGGTTCTCAACTCCCTGCTCTCAGGGCCCCTCCCCTGCTGCATGTCCAGGAGTCACTCCCTGGCTGCTGCTTTTGTCCTGGCAATTCAGTGGTTTCTGGATGATACTGAGTCTGCTGGACATCGCTGGGCTCATTTTCTCAGGCAGAGGCCAAGCCAGGATGGTGGCAGGGTGGCAAGTAGTTGAGAAAACCATCATGATCGTGGCCACTCAGTGGCAGGGGCAGCTGCTGAGGTGGGGGCCTTTTTCCCCCTTCTCTGTTTTGTACCTTTTTTATCTTTAAATAGCGTTTCTTAACCAGAGTTCCACGGCACAGGGTGCCAAACATTGGTGAGCCAGCAGCCCTTAGCTGGTCAGGCAGGGCCTGGATGGTCACCCCCTTTCCTGAGCAGCTGTTTCCCCAGCGTGCCACACGGGGCTTCCCCTTCACAAATGCAGTGGTGATGTGACACCGGGCGCGCGGGCATGGCACCCCGAGTGGCCCACGTGCGGGAGGCCAACGGGGGTGGCTGTCAGTAGCCTGTGTCGTCAGGGGCCTTCACCACTTGCCGCGCACAGCTGGGCTCCCGGGGAAACTGCCACGGAAAGGCCACCACATTAACTGCCGTCTCACTCACAGTACACATCCAGCTCGTCCGGCGGGGAGAGCTCCTGCGAAGAAGGCCGCATGCGCAGGCCCACCCAGCTGAGACCCTTCCACACCAGGGCCACGGTGGACCCTGACTTCCCCATCGCTCACCTGTCCAGCGACCCCGACTACTCCTCCAGCAGCGAGCAGTCCTGCGACACCGTCATCTACATCGGGCCCAACGGCACGGCCCTCTCTGACAAGGAGCTCACCGACAACGAGGGCCCCCCAGACTTTGTCCCTATCGTGCCAGCCCTGCAGAAGACCCGGGGCGACAGCCGGCCCGCAGAGGCAGGAGAGGCTGCAGCCGGCAAGTCAGAAAGGGACTGCCTGAAGTGCAACACGTTTGCCGAGCTGCAGGAGAGGCTGGACTGCATCGACGGCAGCGAGGAGCCCAGCAGCTTTCCTTTCGAAGAACTGCCTGCTCAGTTTGGGCCAGAGCAGGCAAGCAGAGGCCCCCGGTTAAGCCAAGCAGCGGGGGCAAGCCCACTCTCTGAGTCTGATAAGGAAGATAATGGGTCCGAAGGTCAGCTGACCAACAGAGAAGGCCCTGAACTCCCAGCCTCCAAGATGCAGAGGAGTCACTCACCTGTGCCCGCCGCGGCACCCGCCCACAGCCCCAGCCCGGCCTCACCCAGGAGCGTCCCGGGCAGCAGTAGCCAGCACAGCGCCTCCCCACTCGTGCAGAGCCCCAGCCTCCAGAGCAGCCGGGAGAGCCTCAACTCCTGCGGCTTCGTGGAAGGCAAGCCCAGGCCCATGGGCTCCCCCCGGCTGGGCATCGCCAGCCTGTCCAAGACCTCGGAGTACAAGCCACCCAGCTCTCCTTCCCAGAGATGCAAAGTCTACACCCAGAAGGGGGTCCTGCCGTCTCCCGCCCCACTGCCTCCCTCGAGCAAGGATTCCGGCGTGGCGTCTAGGGAGTCCTTGCTGCAGCCCGAGGTGCGTACGCCCCCGGTTGGAATGAGCCCCCAGGTTTTGAAAAAATCCATGTCTGCTGGGAGCGAAGGGTTCCCGGAAACTCCTGTCGATGATGAGCAGCAGGCAGCTACTCCTTCAGAGTCCAAGAAGGAGATCCTGAGCACCACGATGGTGACGGTGCAGCAGCCACTGGAGCTGAACGGTGAGGACGAGCTGGTGTTCACGCTGGTGGAGGAGCTGACCATCAGCGGGGTCCTGGACAGCGGCCGCCCCACCAGCATCATCAGCTTCAACAGCGACTGCTCTGCACGGGCCCTGGCCTCGGGCTCGCGGCCCGTCAGCATCATCAGCAGCATCAGCGAGGACCTGGAGTGCTACTCCAGCACGGCCCCCGTCTCCGAGGTCAGCATCACACAGTTCTTGCCCCTCCCGAAGATGAGCCTGGATGAGAAGGCCCAGGACGCAGGGAGCAGACGCTCTTCCATCAGCTCCTGGCTGAGCGAGATGAGCGCGGGCAGTGAGGGTGAGCAGTCGTGCCACAGTTTCATAGCCCAGACGTGTTTTGGGCACGGGGAGGCAATGGCAGAACCTGTGGCCTCGGAGTTTGTCAGCAGCCTCCAGAACACCGCTGTGGTGTGCAGAGAGAAGCCCAAGGCCAGCCCCGACAACTTGCTCATCCTGTCTGAGATGGGAGATGACTCTTTCAACAAAGCAGCCCCCATCAAAGGCTGCAAAATATCCACAGTGAGCAAGGCCATGGTCACCATCTCCAACACGGCCAATCTGAGCAGCTGCGAGGGGTACATCCCCATGAAGACCAATATCACAGTTTACCCCTGCATTGCCATGAGCCCCCGGAACATCCAAGAGCCGGAGGCCCCCACCGCCACCCCCAAAGCAGGCCCCACATTAGCCCAGTCCCGGGAGAGTAAGGAAAACAGTGCAAAGAAAGAGATGAAATTTGAGGACCCGTGGCTGAAACGAGAAGAGGAAGTGAAAAAAGAGACGGCTCATCCCAATGAAGAAGGGATGATGAGGTGTGAGACTGCCACGGGCCCCTCGAATGCTGAGACCAGAGCAGAGCAGGAGCAGGACGGAAAGCCCAGTCCGGGAGACAGGCTCAGCAGCAGCAGCGGAGAGGTGTCGGCCTCCCCGGTCACTGACAACTTCAGGAGGGTCGTGGATGGGTGTGAGATGGCCCTGCCCGGTTTGGCCACCCAGAGCCCCGTGCATCCCAACAAAAGCGTCAAGTCCAGCAGCCTTCCCAGGGCCTTTCAGAAGGCCAGCCGGCAGGAGGAGCCGGACAGCCTCTCCTATTACTGCGCTGCTGAGACCAACGGGGTGGGTGCAGCCTCGGGCACCCCGCCCTCCAAGGCTACCCTGGAGGGGAAGGTGGCTTCCCCCAAGCACTGTGTTCTGGCTCGGCCCAAAGGGACTCCCCCTCTGCCCCCTGTCCGAAAGTCCAGCCTGGACCAGAAGAACCGGGCCAGCCCTCAGCACAGTGCCAGCGGCAGCGGCACCAGCAGCCCCCTGAACCAACCAGCCGCCTTCCCGGCGGGCCTCCCAGACGAGCCTAGCGGCAAGACGAAGGA
This sequence comes from Homo sapiens, assembly GCF_000001405.40. Lineage (NCBI taxonomy): Eukaryota > Metazoa > Chordata > Mammalia > Primates > Hominidae > Homo > Homo sapiens. The sequence continues at coordinate 385,949 of NT_187516.1, forward strand.
CGCCAGCAGCAGCAGCAAGCTCTTCAGTGCCAAGCTGGAGCAGCTGGCCAGCAGAAGCAACTCGCTGGGCAGGGCGACAGTCAGCCACTACGAATGCCTCTCCCTGGAGCGGGCCGAGAGCCTGTCCTCCGTGAGCTCCCGGCTGCACGCGGGCAAGGACGGCACCATGCCCCGCGCGGGGAGGAGCCTGGGCCGCAGCGCCGGGACCTCGCCCCCCAGCTCCGGGGCCTCGCCCAAGGCCGGCCAGTCCAAGATCTCCGCCGTGAGCAGACTCCTCCTGGCCAGCCCCAGAGCGCGCGGCCCGTCCGCCTCCACCACCAAAACCCTCAGCTTCTCCACCAAGTCCCTGCCGCAGGCGGTGGGCCAGGGCTCCAGCTCGCCCCCCGGTGGGAAGCACACGCCCTGGTCCACGCAGTCCCTCAGCAGGAACAGGAGCTCGGGCCTGGCCTCCAAGCTTCCCCTGCGGGCCGTCAGCGGGCGCATCTCGGAGCTGCTGCAGGGTGGCGCGGGCGCCCGGGGCTTGCAGCTGCGGGCCGGGCCCGAGGCGGAGGCGCGCGGGGGGGCCCTGGCCGAGGACGAGCCCGCGGCCGCGCACCTGCTCCCGTCGCCCTACAGCAAGATCACGCCCCCGCGGAGGCCCCACCGCTGCAGCAGCGGCCACGGCAGCGACAACAGCAGCGTGCTGAGCGGGGAGCTCCCGCCGGCCATGGGGAAGACGGCCCTGTTCTACCACAGCGGCGGCAGCAGCGGCTACGAGAGCGTGATGCGGGACAGCGAGGCCACCGGCAGCGCGTCCTCGGCGCAGGACTCCACGAGCGAGAACAGCAGCTCCGTGGGCGGCAGGTGCCGGAGCCTCAAGACCCCGAAGAAACGCTCCAATCCAGGTAGGCGGCTGGGCGCAGGGACGCGGGTGAGGAGGGCGGCAGGTGGGCGAGCTGCCCAAACCCCACTGCCAGGGTGTCCCGTGCCCTGGGGAGGGGGCGTCCAGGCCTGGCCTCTCCTTGCAGGTGGGCGAACTGCCCAAACCCCACTGCCAGGGTGTCCCGTGCCCTGGGGAGGGGGCGTCCAGGCCTGGCCTCTCCTTTCCCACGGCCCGGCACCCCGCGGGGCTCCGCCGGGGACATCACCGCGGAGGGTTTCTCTGTGAGAAACTGCCCTACTGCGTGCCGTCATCAGGCTTAGGGCCGTGAATCCCTTGGCGCTCAGCAGGGTGGAAAGGCGAGGGCCCGGATGCAGGTGGCAGCATGACCCGCACCTGCTCGCTCTGGGGGCAGCCTGGCTCTTCGCCGTCCATTCCCTCACCCCTGCCCCTCTGTTCAACAACCAAGGATCCTGTGGACGGTTTACAGCCTGTTGAGGGATCAGGTGAGGGTACCTACCCTCATGACCTGGTGGCTTCAGAAGCCCCTCCTGTGAGGTTGGTGGCCTGCAAGACCCTGGCAGCCTCTCTCAGGGATGTGGGATAACGCACAGATTGTCCCATTGAAAGTGGAATGGCGAGGCCCTTCCTCCACCTCCACCCCAAACATATTTGTGGACAGTCATGTTTGCACACCTGCCACAGGGCCTGCAGTGCCCCCCGCCACACACACCATGATGCCTGAAATGCGTGATTTTGGAGAAAGTCTTTGCCATTTCTTTTTTTCCTTTTTTTGAGACAGTCTTACTCTATCGCCCAGGCTGGAGTGCAATGGCGTGATCTTGCCAAACTGCAACCTCTGCTTCCTATGTTCAAGTGATTCTCCTGCTTCAGCCTCCTGAGTAGCTGGGATTACAAGCGTGCACCACCGTGCCTGGCTAATTTTTCTATCTTTGGTAGAGACAAGGTTTTACCATGTTGACCAGGCTGGTCTCGAACTCCTGACCTCAAGTGATCCGCCCGTCTCAGCCTCCCAAAGTGCTGGGATTACAGGCGTGAGCCACCACACCCAGTCAGTCTTTGTCATTTTTAAGAATCTCCTATCAAAAGGCACGTACTCCAGAATAATTAATATATAAAGCCCACAGACTTGTTAATTGGAGTCTTGGGTGGCACATGACAGTAAGTTATGATGGGCAAGGAGAAGAGGACCCGGGTCAGAGCTGGTGGCCCTGGAGGTCTTGGGGTAGGAGAAATGAAAGGATGGTAAGGAGAGAAAAAGACAGACAGAGGCAAAAGTTCCCAAGAACAACTGAAGCTACTTGAGAATTTTGCCTGGAATCATCTCTGCTCATAAGTGGCTTCCAAAGAAATTACCCCTGCTCATCCTTTAAGGGCTTAAAAAAAAATAAATGAAATTTACGCAGAACCCCACGTGCAATTCTGTGGCTTGGTTGAAGCCAGGGCGGCCGGGTTCCTGCCCTCCTGGCCTGTCTCTCCCCTCCCGCTGCCCTTCTGTGCAACACTAGGCTCTTCACATGCTCTCAGAAGCCAGGTCCCTGCAGGGATCCGTGCCCGCAGCATATGTGGAAGTAAAAGATGGGGTGAGACACAGATGTAGGGCTTCCCCTTTCCTACTGCTCCAGCAACTGCCCCACAGGCTTGTTCTCTGTCATGGGGTGGCTTCTTCCTGTTCTCCCACCACAGGCGAGCACAAACTCTGGAATGTTCCAAATGTAAGGGCTGTGGTCAGTGAACATTATAAACCATTCCTCTTCCTAGAATCAAAGAAATCCACCTTAAGGGATGGTGTAGTTATGCAGATGTAGTTTTATGATATAGACAGCCCCATCCGCTCCCCTCATCACAGATCACAGAACTTGGCCATGGGGATGTTAGGCTCTAAGCATGGTAGGGAATCATCGTGGCTGTCAGTACCTTGACATCTTTATTTGCCTGGGGGGGGGGTATGCTTCAGTCTTTGATACGCTTTGACTCTGCTTTACTTCACCCCTCAATCTCGGTGACAGCACTTGGAGCAGAACCCCATTTAAGACAAGTTGAAAAGGAAGAGCCATTCCGTGTAACGTAGCAGCTTCTGTGTCTTATGGCCAGGGCCAAGGGCATTGAAACGTATTGATGAGAGTAAAAATAACAAGCAGGAAAGCATCTGCCGGCCTTCCCAGTACCTGGTTAATGAACTCTTGTTATTCTAATCCACGCAGCCTCGGTCTTCAAAGTCCAGATGACTGTGTGGCATCGGCTGCGTGGCCACGTGTGTTTCAGTGTCCCACAGTGCTTTCATGGACTCAAATTTAGTGCCTTGCGTCTACCAGTCCATTTCATTATTTCCGTGGCTTTCACAGGTTTTTGTTTTTTTCCCCAAGACTTTTATTGTTTGGTTTGGCGGTTACAGTGGAGTAAAGAGGAAGAACAATGATGGAAAAACAAACGTGTGAAGTGACTGCTTGGCGAGCAGGCAGCAGGCTCTGCATACGCCCTTGCTCTGGGCTAAGTGCTCTCGTAAATGCTGTCCTCTAGGAGCCTCTGGTTAGGTAAGGCTATTGGAGGAAAACAGTGTAAAATTAAAATGCCAGGGCAGGTGCTAGAAATGGATTTCATGTGGAATGTCAAGAGCAGAAGACCTTTGTGATGAGCTGCTGTAGATCCAGGCTCCATGATGGATGTGGCAGTGGAGATGTGCTGGTTTCAGGTTAGGTGACCTTGTCTGGCTTATTTATGATTATTATTAAGAGAAACGGTGGCTGTCAGACATGGTCAGCATAAATCAAAAGCAACTTCTTTAAGAGAAGCTATAAAACTCCTCCAAGGAAATTCCTAACTAGATGGCTAGAGTTTACAATTATGAGAGGTGTTTGGAACCAGAGAGGAGACATCTTTTGTCTGAGATGGCTTTTGAATTTGGAATATTTTAATGCTTATTTCCTTAGTAAAAATGAACTAGAATTATTGGGAAAATAACCTTGACCTCTCTGATTCCTTGGTAGTACATGTAACAGCAGAAACGACCAAATATCACCGTGGTTCCTTCTTGTCTTCTCATTCTTGGAGGTCCATGTTGCTGAGGAGTGTGCAGCATTGGGCTTGTTCCACCGGCCATAGCAGGGTGCAGTGAATTAAGTTAGAAAGCAGGAGGAGGCTTAGAATCTTGAGCTGTGTGACCTTTGGGGAATAACTGTCCTCTTTGAGCTTCAATTTTCTCATATGCAAGTAAAACGAGAAGATTGATAGGTAATAGCCATGGTCTCTCTGCTGCCCACATCATATGAGACTATGCAGATAATTTAAATAATGTTATGGTCATGTGATGTCTTTTCCTTAGAGCAATCTGTAGTCAGTGGGGTTTATTTTCAGTTGTTCAACATTGACCAGGTATCTTCTGTGCTCTTAGAGCTTGGTGATAGTTTCTGGTGTGTGGGTGGAGGTGGAGGCAGCCGGCACAGGGGACAAGGCCACTGTAAGAAGTTTGTAATCTAATTGGAGAGAAAGGGTGAAAAGCGTGGAATAGAGAACAGTGAACTGAGTGCATTCCCAGATGCTGAGTGGGGTAGTGAAGGCCCAAGTGGAGAGAGCATTTAGACAAAGCAGGATCCTGCAAGGCAAAGGCTGCAGAGAAATGTCGGGATTGAGCTTGGTCCGGGAGGGTGCTTACATCGGGACAGGCAGAGAGGGCGCAGGGCATCGAGGCTGAGGCAGGGATGGGACTGCAAACTCCCAGCGGCAAGAGCCTGGCCTGTGGGCGACACAGCGAGATTAACTCAAGGAGGGACCGTCCCAGCAAGCAGAGCAAGACGCTAGCAAACGCAAGCCACAGTCACACCCGGAACAAACACAAGCCACAGTCACACCTGGAACATCTGGGAGCTACAAGAACAGTACACATTATTCTATATTCTACATAGTTCTAAAAGAATATCAGTATATTATTGTAGTTGGCAATGGGGAGTCATTACAGGCTCTTGACCAACAACGTGATAAGGTGAGAGAAATGATGTTGCTTTTATTGATGGATTTTCATTGCTTCATCCACAGCTCCTTGCCAGCCCCTCTATGGTCAGCAAGATGAAATTGTGTATAGCCCAGAGCCAAGAATGAGCCCAGGAGGGAAGGGAATGTCTGTCCTGGCCAGTGCACATATCAGCAGCTGAGGATGTCAATCTGTGATACACAGTTGATGCCATAATTACACCAGCTGAGCCCCTACCCTGAGCCCCCAGTCCTCGCGCTCCCCCGTCCCCTATCATCCATTATATGTTATGTCAATCCTATTTTCTTCCTCCAGTCTCTTAACATTTCACCCTCATCCTGGTGTGTTACTTCCTTGGATTCTTTCCCTTGCTTTCCTTTTCTTGGACTGGATGGGGAAGTCTGACAGTTAGATGAGCACCTTGGTCTGAATTAAATTCATTCCCACCACAGGGAGGCTCAGCACCAGAAAAGCCCTGGAGTGAGGGAGGGTCTGCCTGAAGAGAAGCCCCTCAGGGAAGCATGGAGGTTCTGGAATGCTCCAGACCTTGGCCCGCCTGGACATGAGCAAGGCCTGTTCTGCGCTCGACCCAGCCTGCTTGGTGCCCAGCACTGGGCTGGTGCAGGTTACTGTTGGATATTATTGGTTGATTCATTGATGGGCTGGTTGCTTGGTTGGCGGCACAGTCCTGAAAGTTTACTCATGTTTATTTTCTGTGTATTTCTCATATCTTTTCCTGCTGGTGCTAAGTGCTTTAAGTGTTGAGTCTAGTCTGCTACTTTGTCATTCTAAGCGCCAGACCCTGTGCCTTTCTCTTGGTGCTGAGTCAACATTACTGACTGATGGGCCTGTCTTGTGAGTTGTGACTTGCACCTGTAGTGAATTGAGCTCCCAGGCTACCAGGTTCAGTTCCCAGGGCGCTGCACAAAAACTTGTGACTAATTGCTCCTCACCGAGGGCACCATGGTTTGCTCTGCCAACCTCTCCTATTCGTTTGGTTCTCAGGCACATCCTGGTTTTGTTTTAATAAATTCAAGCAGCACAGTGATCACTGGCTTAATGAAAACCAGAGGAAGGCAAGCCGCTTGCTGTCAGACTTCAGATTTCCAGAATGTTTCTAAGCGAACCAACCTAGAGCCAGTTGAGAATAGGTTCAGAATGAGAGCCTTTTTGAATACACAGTTGGGGGAAAAGGAGGAGAGTCATTGATTCTCTCAGACACCAAGGAAGCTCCTTAGAATAGAACCCCAAAGAGAGTAGGTGGCGCTGATGCTGTGAGATGACACTGTGGTCCTAGGTGCGGGGTTCGGAATCGCAGAGAACACGGGAGGAAGCCCAGGCTCGGCATCGAGGAGAGCTTTGTGGCCCTGGAGAACCTGCCTCTTTCTCATCCCCAGCACGGGAGCACTTGCCTTTTCAGCTAAAACATGACAGCAGGCCACACAGCCAGCATCGTTCTTCATCATGGAGCTGGCCCCTTCCTGGTCAACAAAATCACATGGATTGATTCACATTCTCTTTCTCTCTCTGCTCTGATATCTACAGTTCCTTTCAACATTAGTGCCTCGTGCTTTTTTGACTGTCTTCCTAGTGCCTACTCTTTGAATCAGAATGCAGACAGTGGGCGATGGAGCGAAAGCCATGCTGGAGGGCTCTCAGGAGCAGGAGTTTGGGAATGGGCAGAAGCATATTCCCCAGGGGGAGCTGAGAGGGCTCAGCACTCAGAACACCCATGTTTCCCAACACTTAACCTCAGCAGCAGCATCTGCAGACTCGTGTGGGGACTTCTGTCTGGACTCAGGGATGTTAAGAGTAGAAGGCCCAATGTCAGCTTCTCACGTGGGCTGTCAGCACCGCAGATGATACCGGAAGATGGACTGTGATGGGCCAGCGACCCCTCTGACTGCACGCAGCTGTCAGCCAGGCCTGGAACAGGAGGGGCGAGGGGGTGGGCTCAGCCTCTGTTAGTGGGAGAGGTCCTGGTTGGAAGTTTCACTGAAGTATCAGTGTTGACTTTCTCAGGTCAAATCTGGGCCATTTCATGCGGTAAATCCATGTCGGCAGGTATCAGCCCAAGTGTTTTGAACATGCTGCACTTGTACATGCCTGGACCAAATGCCAGGCTGATGAGCAGGGAGGGGTTGAAAAGCAGAAGGGAGCCCAACCCACCGGCGTCAGCAGGAGGCTGGCCCTGGCTGTGGCTCCCCGATCAGACAGGCGGCGTCCAATGGGGCACCACACGACTCCCGCCAGGGTGGGGCTTCCCCTGTACCTTTCTTAGAGCTGATGGTCCCCTGACCCCACTCGCAGCCTGGAAGGAGGGGATCCCTGGCAGAGACCGGGCTTGGCAGAAAACTGGGCATCTGCTTGAGAGGTGGAAATGCTGGAGCATGCAGAAAATCTAAGAACCCTTATTTATATGGGGCCCCAGACCAGGACCCTCGGGTCAGTCTTTCTTTGCCCAGGGATGGCATAGCAGTAACATCGCTTCCTGTGCCCTTTCCAGTAATGTGAGGGCACCATCTCCGCCCCTGAACTCCCTTCAGGCCACTTCACTCCATTTCCTCAGCCTGACCACATTACCCCTGCCCCAGTACTTGGCTTCCCTCACCATCACCTAAGTGAAGCTCACATGCACCTCTGGAGGGAGACAGGCGCGGGGAGAGGGAGCCTCAGCTGGAGGTGCAGGAACTGAGTATCAATCCATTCACGGGATTGAGGTTCTGGTACCCAAATTCAGAATTTTACGAAAATCCAAGACACTTGTTCATTCGTGTGCAGGAAAAAGGTATTCCTAGCCCCCAAACCACACCTAACCTGACAGTGGGCACTCACTTCACCTTGAGAGGGATCGATGTGGTGAGGAAGTTCAAGGTTGCTAGATGGCATGGAAAGGAGGCAATGGGAAGGAAGTAGATACCCGCCAGGATATTTCTGTGAAGCTGTTGTAGCCCAGTGAAATGTCACTCTCCAGGTGTTTTTACCTTCTCTACTCCCAGCTCACACGGTGCCCTGGCACGGGTATTGGCAGGACTCTCCAGGTGTTTTTACCTTCTCTACTCCCAGCTCACACGGTGCCCTGGCACGGGTATTGGCAGGACTCTCCAGGCGTTTTTACCTTCTCTACTCCCAGCTCACACGGTGCCCTGGCACGGGTATTGGCAGGACTCTCCAGGTGTTTTTCTCTACTCCCATCTCACACGGTGCCCTGGCACGGGTATTGGCAGGAGATGGAGGGTGGCTCTTATCCAAGACATTTTCCCATCTGATCATATCCCATCCGCGGTAGCCAGGCTCCAAGATGGCCCCCATGGTCTCTGCCTCCTGGTGTTCACACCCTTGTGTAGTCCCCTCCCGTATTTACCAGAGTTGGTCTCTGTTGAGTGAGGTAAGGCAGAGTGATGGTATGTCACTTTCAAAAGTAGGTTATAAAAGACACTGCACCTTCTGTGCTGGGTGCCCCTCTTGCTTTCTTGGGTCATTCCCTCTGGGGGATGCCAGCTGCCATGTCATAAATAGTCCTGTGTAGGAGAGGCCTGCATGGCAATGAACTAAAGCCTCCTGCCATGATGACATGAGTGAGCTTAGAAATGGAAGCTTCAACCTCAGTCAAGCCTTCAGATGAGTGCAGCCCTAGCTGACAGCTTGCCTGCGACTCCGAGAGGCTCTGAGCCAGAACCACCTGGCAAAAATTGCTCCCAGATTCCCAACCCACAGGGATATGTGAGATCAATGTTTGTTGTTTTAGCCGCTGGGTTTGGGGTTTATTTGTTACACAGCAGCCATTTGGAAGCTAGAGTTGAGGCACACAGAAGCTAAACAGTTTGCCAACAAACAGTCAGCTAGCTTGATCAGACTGATTTAAAAGAAAAAAACCCCTCTGATCTGGTCCCTTCCCAGGGTAGGTGTCTCACGCTAAGGAGACAGACATTTGCTTTATTCCCGTGGTCGATGTTACTTAGTTTCGTTAGTTGGGGCCTGCACTTTGTTGGAAACTAAATGCGATTGTGTATGTGTCTACACAAGATCAAATCTGGGCTCTAAAAAGTGAGGTTTTGGCCGGGCACAGTGGCTCATGCCTGTAATCCCAACACTTTGGGAGGCTGAGGCAAGTGGATCATTTGAGATCAGGCGTTCGAGACCAGTCTGGCCAACATCGTGAAACCCTGTCTCTACTAAAAATACAAAAAATTAGCCGTGCGTGGTAGCGGGCGCCTGTAGTCCCAGCTACTTGGGAGGCTGGGGCAGGAGAATTGATTGAACCCAGCAGGCAGAGGCTGCAGTGACCTGAGATCACACCACTGCACTCCAGCCTGGGCGACAGAGTGAGACTCCCTCTCAAAAACAGTGAGGTTTAATATGAAGCAAAAGGAGCTCGGAGCCCAGAGTTCACTCCATAGAGAAAATTAACACAGCAGTGAGTGCCCCTTGTTGTCTCCTGGAGGAGGCATGCTTCAGCTGGCATCTGCTCATCAAAACGTCAGTCCCCTGTACCATGCAAGAGTTTAGTCTCCATTCTGGGAGCCATGTGCTTCACTAATACCCAGGGTCTCTTCTGCTGTGAAAGAAAGAGGATAGATACTGGGAGAGAACTAGCCGTCCTCGTCACAACGTGTGAAGTGTGTGAAATAGTACCAGGCACGTAACCAGTGCATGTGAGTGCTACTGCTGCTGTTATAAGCAAATAAACAGTGTTTTCTGGAACTCCTGTAATGACATCAAATGCTAGGACCTTTTGACCTATCCATGCTGAGGATGCCCCCTAGGCTGCGTGTTTTACAGGTGGAAACTAGGAGGCGGTTCTAAAGATTCCTCAGGGAGTTTGCTGAGCTAAAGCCCAAGTGTTGGTTTAGGGGAGTAGAGGTGGAGGTGGGTGGTGGGAAGTGGGAGTGTTTAGCCCTACCTCAGATCCTGGGGTGCTTGTCATGACCTCCTCTGTTACATCCACAAAATATTTAAAAGATTGAAATTCAGGCTTCAGCTGAATTTCAGGGTGTAGTGGCTCACACTTGTAATCCCAGCACTTCGGGAGATTAAGGTGGGAGGATCACTTGAGGCCAGGAGTTTGAGACCAGCCTGGGCAATATAGCAAGATGTCGTCTCTCAAAAAAAAACATTTAATTAGCTGGGTGTGGTGGTGTGCACCTGTTATCCCAACTACTTAGGAGGCTGAGACAAGAGAATTGCTTGAGCCCAGGAATTCAAGGCTGCAGTGAGCTATGGATCGCACCACTGCACTCCAGCCTGGGCAACAGAGCAAGACCCTGTCTCAAAAAAACAACAAAAAAATTGAAATTCAGAAAGACTAACTCTCTGGGCTTATCCCCCTCCTCAGGTTCTCAGAGACGGAGGCTTATCCCAGCACTATCCCTGGACACCTCTTCCCCTGTGAGAAAACCCCCCAACAGCACAGGCGTCCGCTGGGTGGATGGCCCCTTGCGGAGCAGCCCGAGGGGCCTTGGGGAACCCTTTGAGATTAAAGTCTATGAAATCGATGACGTGGAGCGCCTGCAGCGGCGACGAGGGGGTGCCAGCAAGGTGAGGCAGCCTCCTTCCCACCCCCTGCCTACGTGGTGGCAGCTCCCCACCAAGCCTGAGCAGGTGCTAGGCAGGGCCCTGGGGAAGAAAACTCAGACCCGGGCTTCCCAGCGGGCTTCTGGCATGGGTGGTGGGAAGGGGGCTTCTGTCCCAGCAAAGGGCCTTTGGACAGAGGCCTTGGAGAGAGCCCCATGTTTCTCTTCCTGAAATGTTTTAAGGGCTTCAAAGCCAGGGGTCGGGGGCTGGTGATCTTGGGGGCTTTTCTGGCTCCTTGAGGCTCCCAGTCTTAACCAACCTTTGTCCAACTTGAACACCCACCACCTGCTTTCTCAACTTAAGAATGGCCTGTCATAGTCCAAAAATGGTCTGTCATAGTCCAAGAATGGTCTGTCATAGTCCTACCTTGTGAGGTGTCTGAATTGAGGTCTGTCAAGGGAGAATTTGGTGGGGATGACCCATGTCCCTCCCACACGTCTCCAAGCCCAGCCTGTTTTCCATCAACGATACTCACAGGTGCTCCTGTGGTGTGGGCTGGGTGTGAGCAGAAGGGCCCTTTCTCCTCTCTGTCTGTGTGCTAGGAGGCCATGTGCTTCAATGCAAAGCTGAAGATTCTGGAACACCGCCAGCAGAGGATCGCCGAGGTCCGCGCGAAGTACGAGTGGCTGATGAAGGAGCTGGAGGCGACCAAACAGTATCTGATGCTGGATCCCAACAAGTGGCTCAGTGAATGTAAGGCCGGGGTGCCTTCCCACCCTTGTGACTAGTGGGTTCACCTGCTCAACCGGGCTGGCGTGTAGCCCAGGGTGACAGTGACACAGGCTGTGTCCTCGTCCTCAGTCACAGGATGCCCATCAAATGGAGGAAGTTGCACCGAGCGAGCAGCCCTACTCCCCTGGGGATGGGCGGGAGGGGCCGGGACAGCAGAGGGGTGGTGAATATTGCTCTTGCAAGATTATTTCTACGTGTCTCAGTCCAAAGCACCTGAAAATGAGATTTTTCCCCCTGCGTGTGGCAGAAGATCACCCAGACATGAAGGCTGTATTACAAATCTCCTAGGCCACAAAATCACACTGCATATCTAGCCTGAAATAGACAAGAATTTATAGAGCCCTTAAAAAGGTAGAGTGTACAGTCCTCGAAAAGCCACGCAGAGAACCCAGAAAGCAAGGAAAACATTTTTGAGTGGAAAAAAAAAAAAAAAGACAGCCACAGTGTTATTTCCATTTAATAGAAAGCCCAGGATGACCATAACCATCTAATAACAATTCAGGACAATTTTGCTCTCTTTGAAAGGTGGATTCAATTGTCTTGTCTTATTAGTTCCTGACCATTCCATTTAGCACAAAATAAAACTTCAGTCTGGTCCCAGCTATTACACGGATATAGGAGCTAATGCTGGAAGACTCAGTCTGTGGGGTGAAATACATTCCTGCCATTCAAGTTCCCTCTGCCTCCCCTTCCCATCCAGCCCTCAGCCTCCGGCAGGCCTCCTTTGTACAGCCCCTCCCCTGCACTGCCCCAACCCTCTTCCAGTCTTCCCCAGCCAGTGTGGAGGGCCTACAGGTGGAGGCTGGAAGCTTAGGTTTATGTTCCAAAGCAGCTGGTTGAAAAGATATTGGTGTGAAATGGTCCTGGGTGAAGGTGCGGAAGAAAGTGGCAGGACTTGTCAGCCTCCCAGCTGTGCCTTCCACATGTAACTGCAGTCTCGCAGCAGCTGCCTCTCCACAGGGATAAGGTGATAACAACATTTCCCTAAGTACTCATTGGATTCTTGGGACAGTCTGTGGAGCATTCTATAATATAATATTAAGTTGCAGCATTTGCCGCTGTGGCCACAGGCATACAGACCTGCTTTGGCTGCTGGCTTTCTCACATACTAGCTGTGGGACCTCAGGTAAGACACTTAACTCTGAGCCTTGACTTCCTTAGCTGTAAAATGGGAAAAATAATGGTGACTACACCATAGGGCAGTTGTGAGGTATAAATCAGTTCCCGTTGGTCCTCTTGGTGCTTACTACACTGCTTGGCCCAGGATGAGAGCTCAGGATCTGGTAGTAATTATTACTATTATCCCAAAGTTCAACAACAGGAGACATTTCCTGGCCAGGCACGGTGGCTCACGCCTGTAATCCCAGCACCTTGGGAGGCCAAGGTGGGCAGATCACTTGAGCCCAGGAGTTCAAGACCAGCCTTGACAACATGGTGTGAAACCCTGTCTGTCTCTACCAAAAATACAAAAATTAGCCGGGCGTGGTGGCGGGCACCTGTAATCTCAGCTACTCAGGAGGCTGAGGTTGCAGTGAGCCAGAGATTGCGCCAGACCCTGTCTCAAAAATAAAAATAAAAAACAGGAGGCATTTCCTTCGTGTCTGCTTGCATGATGCACTGAGGAGTTGGATCTTCTGTTAGAAATTTGAGCAAAGAAAGACATGAACTAGTCCTGCGAGGGCCTTTCATCGAAGGCGCTAATGGGGAGGGCAGACAGGGGCGAGGGCGCTGGTTACTGTCTGCGCGTGACATGCGCACGGGGCGCTGTGCTTATCCCTCCCCGCTGCGGATACCCTTTTCCTTGTTTCAGGAATCCCTGGCCACTTCAAGATCCCAGGGGCCTCCTTTCAGTCAGTCAGTTCTCTCTCCTTCATTTTTGCTATTTTCATTAACATTTTATTTTCAAGAACTGTTTATGCCCAAGGCAGACTTGACTTGAAAATTATCTTCATCTTACAAAGTCAGTCATATTTTTCCCAGGATGGGAACAAGCTGAAACATCAATACATATGTGTTTAGATGCTTCCAGGAAACAATTGCTTCCTTCTAGTCTTTGTACATGTCAAAAATCACTGTGTTTTTGATGCTGAGAAAGAAAATGAACAGAAAGCTACATGAAAGGGGAAATATATATTGTTTCTTGAAGATGAATTGAAAACAGTAATGAAAAAAAGGATCAATGAGCTGCCTGCTGACTATTCCCTGTGGGCATGAGGCAGGGGACTGGCATGGAAAGATCCATTTTTAGTTCTATTATTTCTTCATTCTGATGCCACTTTTAAGGTTGTCCAGTAATGTAGTCTGATGTGGTCATAGAATGATGTCTCCTTTTGCTTTTTTGTTTTGGTTTTTAAATATTAAACTGGTATTCAGGGCCTTCGGTCTCCTTCCAGCTCTAGTCCTGGTTAACTGTGTCAGCCTCAGTGAGTCACGTCACTGTCCAGCTCTCAGGGACCTCATCTGCAGAAAGAAGACACTCTGCAGACAGCGGCCACTCTAAGCCCCAGTGTTTCCATAGCACGGCATCGTTTTCAAATCAAGTTCGTGTTCATTATTATCTCATTTTATTCTTCACAGCAACTCAAGGCAGGCAGGGCAGGCAGCGTAGGAGTTACTATTCTCACATGCCTTTAAAGACACTGTCAGCAGAGGTGGAGGTCCCAGAGCTCGTCTCTTCAGAGCTTGTCTCGTGCCTGGGGTTCCAGGGCCATCCCACCACCTTGGACTGCTGTCCACGCCTCTCCTCCTCGTACTGGGAGCCTGCTGGACCCCTGGACCTGGGCCAGGCAGCCCATCCCTCTGCCCGGCCACCTCTGGACAAAGCAGGGGACTTGATGCCAGAGGGGTTGATCCCAGATACCTGCTCTTCAGGCCTGGAATGATACAGACTTTTTACTCTGTGCAGGCCTGAACATCAGGAAAGGCATCTGGGTTATAATCCAGAAACGTCCTTTCATATAAGGAAGCAGAGGTATAAATGTCACTCAACTGAGACCCCCAAAAGGGAGGGACTCTCCCCACCTCAACTTGAATTATTTACTTGATTGATTGATAGTGAATAGTGTGGTAGCGTCTCTCAAATCCTGGGATCCATCCTGGATCCTCCATGGCTGGAGGTAGGGGGAGCTAGAATGTCACCTTATTGGTCAGTAGAATCTCAGAAAAAACCTTAAGGATCTAAATACTGGTAAAGAGTGTTCCTTTCAACCCAAAAGAGGCCGAGAATCAGGCAGGAGGGAACTCTGCAGTGGCCTAAGGCAAGCGAACTAGACCTTTAGACCAAGGGGTAGATGTGGGGGTGGCAGCTCCAGGCTGAGCCGTCGGGAGTTGCTTCTCACCCTGTTTGCTCTGCGTCTCCATCAGGCTCTTCCTCTCTTGCAGTTGACTTGGAGCAGGTTTGGGAGCTGGATTCCCTGGAGTACCTGGAGGCACTGGAGTGTGTGACGGAGCGCCTGGAGAGCCGTGTCAACTTCTGCAAGGCCCATCTCATGATGATCACCTGCTTCGACATCACCTCCAGGCGCCGGTAGATGAGCCAGACCCTTGTCCTAGTGGTCCCCCGCTCCCCAGGACTTCAGAGATGTTGCACGCCCCTAGGCCCTCTGTGCTGGGGCATCAAAGACAATGAATGAGGATGAAGGTTGGTGGCAAGTCTGGAGCGGGCGTTGAGCGGAAGGCGAGTTTTCTTTTGTTTTCTGTAGGAAAGGTGCAAACGTCAAACACCGTGGAAGGAGAAAAGGATGGGAAGCCCGAGGGGTGTCCAAGCCCTGTGAGACTGAAAAAGCACTTTGAGGAACCTTAAAGACCTTGTTTGTACATAAGAACTGCTAGCAAAAGAGACCTCACTCTTCTCTTGCTTTCGTGAGAAAGGAGGGGCGTGGATGTAGGATTGCTGTGGAAAGCGAACACAAAACAACCCAGAATGACTGATTAAGTGCCTTGCAAATCTTTATTATTATCCAAACATTTATGTTCATACTTTCTTGTGTACAGATGGTGCTAGTCAAGATGAAAACAACAAAACAAACAAGAAAAACATTTTGGAAATGTATTCACAGCTCTTTTTCTCTTGGTGTTTTATCCTATTTCTGACTTGCTGTTTCTAAGTAAGTTGTGTTTGTAGAGCTATTTCTTAATCAGTATTGCTTATGAATAAATATTACCTGTCTTTTATGGTTATTCTGGTGAGGCCACTCAAACAGAGAGACTTCCCTCGGCACGAGCCAGTGTGTGTGTTTCCAAAGTAGGTTTGGAGCAGCAGGTGACCTCGATGCCACATCCCAACAAGCAGCGTGGTCAGGTAGACCCAGAAGGTTGATTGTGGGGCAGGTGCTTTAGAGAACAGGTGAGGAGACGGCACCTGCAGCACAGGGGAGGAGGAGTCCTTTGCGACCTGGGCCCTCCCTGCTCCTGGGAGGTGGGCCGTATGTTCTGTAGACCGTTTGCCCCCCTCAAGTCCTCCACACATGTGGTTCCTTGACCCACAAATCCACAGTTTGCGTGGCCCTCAAAATTCATATTCATTTTTATTCCAAAAAGTCTTGAACGAAAGCTGGAACCAATTCACCAGAGCCATATTTCTTTCTTTAGTATTTTCTAGTGTTGTGTTGTAGATTGATTAAAGTGGGTTTTTCCCCAGCTGAGAGACCTTCTCAGGCTTGTTCAGAGACTTCAACTGTATTGGATTAGAAGAAGGATTCTTGAGACTGTACATCTTGTCTGTTGTCCAGAGTACAAGGATTTCAGCTCTCCTGTGTCCCAAAGCCTCTATGCCAAGAAGGGACAGGCTTGTCCTCTCAGTCTTTGCTCCTGCCCAAAGGCAGAGAGAGCTTCCCCTCCATAACTCACACGACCCTGGATAGGCAGAACATAGCTGAAGACTATGGATGTCCAGGTCTTGGCTCCCAACAACTCAGGACCTCAAATTCAGATGTTCCTCCCTATAACAATTCCCTTAGGAATTATGATACCCATTTTAGTGATTGATAGAAACCTGGGGTACAGAGTGGTCAAGGGATTTCCCTGATAAAAGCTGTGGTGCTGATGATAGTGCAGCCCAGAATCTAAGAGTCCCTGCAGCCTTCGCATCGAGGATGGTACTTAGGCGTGTGCAGAGCACGCTTCCCTTTTGCCCTCAAATGCAGCATATCTTCATGAGCCTATTTATTTCCAAGCTAGGCTGTCTTTATTAACCAACAACTCAGCCCCAGCCACTCCCCAAGCGGGGAAAAAAACACTACGTTTCTTGGTCAGTGTACCTCTGGACACTGCAGCCCACACAGCTGGCTGAACTCGGTAAATGGGAACCGAAGTCTTGTGAGCTTCACATGACCTGATCCTTTGTTATCAGAACAGGGTTCAGGTGGCCCTGTTGGCTCATGTGCTTTGGAAGCCAGCTCCCTGGGTCACGAGTCTGGCTTTGCACTTTCCATAAGAGTCTGCTTCTATGCAAAGGTGCAAACAGGAGACATGCCCAAATCTGCTGGCTGAACAGGCTAAACTACAGTGAGAGGCTGCTCTGGCATGGCTCGTTCTTCCTTCTGTGTATCTCCCAAGTCTGACAAGTGTGTTGCCCTGGGAAGCAGGACCTCCCTGAGCTCCTTAACCTTGACCCCATTCTGCAGGACAGTCGCATGCTCTGGGCTCGCCTCTGGCCTCAAAGCACTTGTGTAAGTGGGCTTGCTTAACAGTAATATCCTTGGAGGCTTCTGGACCCAAAGGGAAGCCAATCCTTCGAGTTTGCCATTGGGCTGCTGGTTGCTGGTTTCAAACATATAGTTCATGAAAAGTCTTTAATTGGAGATTTTCAAAGGTGAATATTCTGTTTTTGTTGGAAAGAAACTCATCTGATGAGTCATCGATGAGTTTGGCTTTCGCCCCTGCCACATCCTCCCCTGAGGTTCCTTCCATGCTGCACTGCCTTCCTTTAGCCAGTGACAGAGCCTGGTGCCCTTCCTGGACTGAAACCGATGGAATCCTTCCGAGGGGAGTGGCATTCGGCTTGCCTCCTGCCTAAATCTGCTTTTATCCATTTGTAGCAACTTTATGCTGTAACAAAAGGCGGAAGGAAACCAAGAGTTCTCTTAGCAAGTCAGACTCCTTCCCAAGATGGCAATCACAGAACACCTCGCAGGATCTCGCAGGCCACGGTGAAGGAGAATGCTTTATGTTGATGTTGTCCATTCTCTCTCTCTTCTCTTTGCTTTTTTTTGACCTAAATAAGCTGCAAACATGTTAATTTACCAATATTGATAAACCACATGAAGAAATCAGGCATTTTACGTTATGATGTGCTTGTTCCTGTCTCTGCCTATAAATTGACTGTATTGATGATGAAGGAAGGAGTTCCGGCTGACCATTCTGAAGCAGTCCCAGTCACGGGAGGATGCCTTACCCAGTGGCCAGACATGATAGTTCCAGGTCTCCCCTTGGTTTTGGTGATAGAGAACCCAAGGAGGCAAGGGGGAATATCAACGAACCCATTTCTATTTCATTACCCACAAGCGAAAGGACTAGAAAAAAATATTTGAAATTAACATTTAGATGCATAGGTCTAACTCCTTGTGTGAACCTGTCCTCCTCACCCCCTGCTCCAAATATGTGAGGTGGAAGCATTAGCAGCGGAGCAAAACTAAGATCTAAGAACGGGCGGTGGTGCTATTGTGTCCCTGGGAGTCACTCCACGTCGCATTGCACGGTGGTGCTGAGGAGCGAGAGTTTGCTTTATCATGGGCTTTCAGTTCCCACCTGCGAGCTGCAAACTTTGATCTTGTTGTCCTTGAATTCCCCTCTACATCACGAGGAAGCTGTCTCTTTCATCTCTTCCGGATTTGGAATCAGAACACTCTGCCCGTTGTTTATTCGCCAGTTGCCATTCTTAACATGGGGGAGCATTAAGATGCAAATGCAGAGATGTGTCCTGTCTTGACAAAGGTGGGAACCCCTGAGCTGGAGAAGGGGCTCCTCTCATGAGAAGCTGGGGTAAACAGCCAGGCATCGCAGCGTGGGGAATTAGACAGGCAGGAATCTGGCCTGGTTTGTCATAAATTAGCCTTCAACTTGAAGTCTATTATGTTCTTATAAGGCGGTAGTGACTTCAGTCCAGCCGCATCTACCATCCAGGGTGGAGGTTCAAAAAGTCTTATACGCACCTACAAGTCTCACGCTTGCTGCTCAGACTTTCTGATAAAATCTCAGAGTTCTGTTTGTATTGACCAAAAATGCAGTTGTGCCCACTTGGGTGTGTATCTCATGTCCTTGTAAACCAGCCACCTTCTTTGGATAGAAGGCAAGGCTGACAAATCTGCAGATTTGTTCAATGCAAACACAGCCGTCTATATCATTGGCCACTGCTGATTATATTGAGTGTTTTTAGGTTTTTTAGGTTTCTTATTCCAAAAAGGATTTTAGACTGTAAAATGACTAAAGATGAGTTAATTTCCAAACTAAAAAAGGAAGGAGTCCTGCCTGTACTCATTGTTCTTTCCTGCTGGACTAGTAACCCATTCTTGGAGCACACACAGAGTCCCTCGCTTCTAAAGACAATACGTCTTAAACCCTGAAAACTTGCCAGTGAGAAAGAGGTTGAAAGTCCTGTTTGCTATTAGTTGAGGCTAAGCCGTCTGCTGCCACTGTCCCTGGGGCCTCCATGCTGCCGCCGGGGTATGTGGCCCAGCTGTCCCCCCATGAAGGACACTCTTCAATGCCACCACACGGGAGTCTGGGCAGGGAGGAAAGGCACACAGCCCACTTTTCTCTGCACCAAATGAAACAAAGCTGGGTGTTCAGTGTCACTGATGCAAGTAAATGGGTCTCAAATTTTGGTGGGGGCAGTGTTTCTTTGGATTCTGATACCTCTTTTTCCACCTCCAGAAAGTATCTGTCAACATTGGTGGGTAACAGCTTATAAAGTGCATCACTTAGTAATCTTCCTGACAAAATGACACATTTTAAAATTACAACCTGTTCATTATTTCCATCATAATGCAAGCGTAATTCTAATCCGGGAGAAGATACTGTCATTTAAGCTCATCTTCTCAAAAAAATTTTTTCTGAAAATTCCTGGAAACTAATTTATCCCTCCCTAAACAAACACATTCTGCTTTTGGGTGGCCCTACCCAGAACCTGCAGCAATGTCATAACACTGGACACAGTGCGGCTTGGGGCAGTATCAAGCCTTCATTGCATACAAACCTTAATCTCTAAGCATAGTTGTTCCCAAGGTCCACACGTGTGGAGGCGAGTACTGAAATACCACACTCACACATCTATTCCATGCGTACCTAGAAATTACCTTCAACACTAAAAAAGGTTCCTTCTTTCATTCCCTATCCTGCTAACAGCCCACATTGTAATATTTGATTTATGAAGAAGTTCTAATTTATTTGTGAACTCAGGATGTTGCTTTACAGCATTGCTCGTGTTCTCTCATTTACTTATTATGCATCACGGTTGGAAATGCTATCCACGTGCCGTGCATCGAGGTGGAGATTTGCTGGATCTGTCTGTGGCTATTTTTTTCCATGTTTTTCTCACTCAAGCAAAGTCTGTTAGTGGAAACATGGGCTGGGGGATGGGGAGAGGACAGATAAAGCAAGAGAATAGGGATTAGGGTCCAATCCTCAATGCACAGGGCTTAGTTCAAAATCTAAGCTGTTTCTGTAGTAAGCAGCCAAATGGGAAAGATCCCTTCGTTTTGAATTTGATGAGAATGGGCTTGGAAATCCACGCCCACCGGCTTGCACGGAAGAGGACTCAGCCTCTTCCTAATGGTTCAACATTCAATTCCTGAGGAAAGTGCTGATAGTATTAGTTCCCTACATTTCCCTAAGACTCCCATCCAACCCCTAGTGCTACTGAAGAGGGTTTGGGAAAGCAATTGGAGTTCCTTAGCTTGGATATATATAGTACCTGTTTTTTTCCTCTGGAAAAACCAAAGTACTTTAGTGAGTCTTACAATCTTAAGGCATTTTGTCCCCTCACTGGGTCCCGAGAGGCAGGGAGGGGCTAGGCCTTGAGCTAGGAGCAAGGACATGGGCCGCCAGGCCTGGTTGTTACTAGCTGTGCAACCTTGGGCGAGCCTCTTCGCTTTGCTGGGCCTCAGGTTCCCGAGTGGAAGACTGGGGGTCAGAACAGCTGCCCTTCTGGGAGAGCATCAAGAGAAAGTGGTATAAGTGATGGGAAGTGCTTTGAAGAAATTAAAGGTCTGTCTAGGAGCTGGGGGTAATCATTTACAGATGAAGAAACTGAAGTCTAGTCATTGACTGGCCCGAGTTCACAGAGTGGTTTTATAGCAAAACAGGGACTTGAGTCCAGCTTATTGGATTCTTCCCATCAGATCATATTGCACCAGGTATGTGTAGACATGAACACATACCATTCCTCTAAGGTGTGTGTACATACACGGATGTGTGTGTACAGGAGGTACCTGACATGGTGAAAGGCCATAGGACAGAAAACCTGAGTTCTAATTCCAGCTTTGCCAGTCGTCCCGTCCGTGATATATTCCATAGGACAGAAAACCTGAGTTCTAATTCCAGCTTTGCCAGTCATCCTGTCCGTGATATATTCCATAGGACAGAAAACCTGAGTTCTAATTCCAGCTTTGCCAGTCGTCCCGTCCGTGATATATTACCTAACTCCTCCAGAACTCAGTTTTCTAACCTATAAAATGAAGACATTGTGCTAGATGATCTTTGTGGTTCCTTCAAGCTCTGGATCTCTAATTCCATGATTAGTAATGTATGTATGTGTATATAAATATGCTTATCTGTAGAAATGGGCCCATTTGAAAAGTGGAGACAAGGTCTGCCCAGGTGCATTTATTGTGCCAGAAACAGTGAATTCCTAAATAAGTTCATAAAATCTTGTTTTACAATTCAATGGTAGTGCTTAATGTTACTGTCTGAAATCCACTGTTTAACCAGATGGAAGACTGGGGCCATTCAAAACATTATTAGTTCACAAGTGTTTGCTGTTAAAATGCTTCAATAAAACTCATTTGTTAAAGTCAGAAATTCAACTCTTCTGTACTTGGGCAGGTCCCAGCAGCCCCTTGGCAGGCTAGTTTTGTGCATGGGCCTTTGCAAGCTATATAAACGTTAGGTGTTGGCTTGATTATGATAAATATGAGCAGGCTCCCTGGAGAACAGTCCAGAAAAAAAGAGTTATAGTTCTCACAAACTGGTGACATGAATCCATTAAGCTGTGTGGCATTTTCCAGTGTAAAGACATTGTTTGCTGGCTACGATCTCTGACTTTTTGTGGCATATGAGGTGTAAAATGTTGTCAAAAAAGAATCTGGTGTTTAAAAAAAAATCAAACTATGGTGGCATTAAATGTTCACTTTTATTCTACCCAGAGTTGTGAATTCCTCTATCCAGCTTCTCCTTCTGTACCTCGGGGGAAAGCAATTCAAGAGCTAGGGGTGGGTGCTTCTCACGGCAGCAACACCTTGGCCCAAGTCTAGCCCCCAGGCCTCTCAGGACCTCATGGGATGAGGCCTGTCTAGTCGCCCTGTGGAGCTGGCCCCCAACAAGTTCAGCAGCTCAGCCAGGAGTGAGTAGAGGTGTCAGCTAAGTCCCAGAGTCCCTGGACTTGTTCTGCACACCTGAGAGCCAGACGCTGGGGAAAGTGTGGAGAAGCTTGTGTTGATAATGGGATATTTTCTGTTGCCCTCCCTCAGTCCAGTGTTTCTGGGGCTTACACAAAATAAGGGAATTTGCAGTCACTGTAGATTGCTCGGGCCTGGATGCATGGGCCTCTGTTACACTGGTGCTTGGTCTCAGTTATAACTGGGCACATTCAGGCAAGAAGGCAAAAACAGATCAGAACTAGAAAAAGGTCTCTCAGGGTAGCCCCTTCCCTTGAGGACAGTCTCCCTCCACTGCAGACATTTCCCTCTGAACAGTAATGAGGGACTTTCCTAGATGCTGGTGCCACATTCATCCAATCAACTGAGTGCTCCACACCCCCAGGAGATAGGGCAGGATGGCCACTCAAAGCAAATACATACTCTTCACTCCTGGCAAGATCCCTCTCTGAGTCCCTGTCTCCTACTGCACCACGCTTGCCTGGACATGCACACCTCCAAGGCTCCCTGCTTTTCTTCTCCCCAAATCCTAGCCAAGACCTTCTTGGGCTCCCTTTGGGTAAACCGAGCAGAAGCCGTAAGGGTTTTCTAAACATAATGCCTTCAACTAGAAGAGAAGGTAGAGGTGGTGCCAAACTGATCATTCCCTTGGGGAGGAGACGATGGAAAGGCAGCCTCTATTATAGAATTGTTTCTAATGCCCTCACTCCTCCCAATTAAAGACCTTCTCAGTGCTCTGCTGGCCTGTCGTAGCCTATAATACATCTTGTCCCAATTCACATCAGCACCTCTCGTCTCTGGGAAGGATATGTATTGTGTGGTCATCAGAAGTAACTTTTCATTAGGAAAAAAACTATCCAAATATACAATCTTAGGTGGATCTGTCCCTCAAACCATTAAACTATCCAAACTGTTCTTACTTTTATTCTTTCCATCCTTTTTGATCCTGTCTCTTTGTCTCAGGGAGGACAGTGGCCATTCTGCCTACCTTGGCACCATGCTGCATTTGGCCAGACGCCCCTGGGACTAGAAGGTCATAGAAAAGAAAGCAAGGTGATGTCATTGTCCAGCAATGGCAGATCAGGCTATGGCTGCACCTGGATGGAGAAAATGCCTCCGCATCTATGCAGGACCTGTTGCAGTGTCTGATGCTTCCACTTGTTTTTCTAGCTGAAGGTGTTGTTTCTAGAAAACCCTTATAAATCTACAGAGCACTTGGAGTGTAAATGCATTGACCTGCCAGTGGCTGCAGTGCTCCTAACACCCATGGATATCTCTTGTTCTATAACTCCAGTGGCTAGAACAGAACATGGAACATAGTGGGTGCTCAACCAATATTAGCTGAATGAATGAATCAATCAATTATTCAACTTTGGGGGAAGAGGCAACAACAAAAACCTGGGCAGGGGCCTGCAGCATTTCAGAGTCCCGTGACAAGTGGACCAAAGGTCTGCATTTGCAAACCCCTACTGGGATTAATCCCTAATTCCCAGTGGAGAAGGAGCACCAGGCCCACACAAGGCCAGACCCACGCCCTGGGCTTCTTACGCACACAGCCTTGACCTCCACAGCCACGGAGCAGCCTTGGCTTTCAGGCCTCCTAAAGCATGTTTCTAAGAGATGAAAAAGAGTCGTGTTCAAGCTCGTGGATTCCGTCTCAACATGTATAAAACAATCGTCGAGCAAACCCTCACTGAGCAGCACTCGCACTGTCCCAGACACCGTGCTGGTTGCAGTGAATGAAACAGGTTCCAGGCTCCCAGAACTCAGTGAGGTTGGCGAGCCGGGCCGGCACACAGAAACGCTGCTACAAACACGCAAACGTGCTCCCCTCCATGCAGGGCAAACCCTCCTCAGGGGCCCCTTTTCCTAGAATTTGGGCCCTTGTCCAGGCCTCACCTCCAGAAGAGTCTCCTTAAGCAGGAGGCTGAGAGGGCAGCGAGGCGGGGAGGGAAGGGGGACAGCCAGTGTCACTGCAAGTCGCTTTATTTCTCCTGCGGAAGTCCAGCCCTCCCTCACTCCCCTACTCCCCGGCACTTCCAGCTTCCTCCCCGCAGCGGGTTAACACGTGCATTTGCCAAGAGCTCAGGAAGGGCGCGCTGTGAGCATCCAGCCAGCTGAGGAGGAGGGGACTGTCCCCTGGGCAGCCACCCCGCTGCCACCTGAGGAAGCTACTTTGGGGTCCACCTGCATGCACGGTAAGCAGCACGTCCTTTCTTTTTCATTTTAAAATTGTTACATTGCCCCGCTCAGCCCATCCTCTGTGCTCTCCCCTCTCCAGCAGGTTCTGGGGTGCTGATACATATTACACACCTTTTGTGTGCTCAGAAGAAAAACTCAAAAAAAAGAGCTTTATAGACCACAAAGATCTACAAACCCCCAAAGTCCCTGATGGCCCAGTGAGAGAAAGGCCGCTGCTTTTTAAAACTGCACTTTGAAAATATGGAAATTGAAAATAAAAAATTACCTTCATCTCACCCCAGAGAGAACCACTGTTATTTAATAGATACACACACACACACACACACACACACACACACACACACACACACACAGAGGCACGTGCGCTATTACAAATTTTGGATTATCCTGGATATGGTCCTTTTGGAACCCTTTTCCCCTTTAATAATCCTACCATGTATATTTGTTTCCCCAATTGGCACATGTGCTCTGACAACATGGCTTTTAACATTGCAGAATATTCCATCACATAGATCGACCGACTCTCATTTATGCACGGCTACTATTCCCTGCTCTTGGACCATAAGATTGCTTCCACTTTTTCACAATTATCAGTTACACTGTTGAACATAAATCAACACATATTGAATATAAATCTTTTTTGTTAACCTGACAAGTCCGTAGGGATAAATTCCTGGAAGTAAAATAGCTATAACAAGAGGAATAAAAGATTACAAGGCATGTTACACACATTGAGGGTGGCTGTGCTTTAAACCGTCCAACCTCAATGATGATTAGAAGCCTTCCCTGATAGCCCCAGATGGAGTCATCTCTTCCTCTCTTAACTTTTATTTCATTGATTCACTTATTTATTCATTCTACAAATATACATTAAAAAACTCTGGCCAGGCACGGTAGCTCACGCCTGTAATCCCAGCACTTTGAGAGGCCGAGGCGGGGGGATCACTTGAGGTCAGGAGTTCTAGACCAGCCTGGCCAACGTGGTGAAACCCCCTCTCTACAAAAAATACAAAAATTAGCTAGGCATGATGGCGCGTGCCGGTAATCCCAGCTACTTGGGAGGCTGAGGCACAAAAATTGCTTGAACCCGGGAGGTGGATATTGCAGTGAGCCGAGATTGCACCACTGCACTACACCCTGGGCAAAGAGCAAGACTAAGTCTCAAACAAACAAACAAACAAACAAAAAAAAAAAACTCCAACATGGGACAGTGTTCCTGTTGTAAGATGTGCCAAGTTCTTAGTATACACTTCATCATATTTTAAAGTAGGACGTGTTTATCTGTCCTTAAATATTAGGCATCAGGCTCACGCCTGTAATCCCGGCACTTTGGGAGGCCGAGGTGGGCAGATCACAAGGTCAGGAGATTGAGACCATCCTGGCTAACACAGTGAAACCCCGTCTCTACTAAAAATACAAAAACTTAGCTGGGTGTGGTGGCGGGTGCCTGTAGTCCCAGCTACTTGGAGGCTGAGGGAGGAGAATGGCGTGAACCCAGGAGGCGGAGCTTGCAGTGAGCCGAGATCGCACCACTGCACTCCAGCCTGGGCGACAGAGCAAGACTCTATCTCAAAAAATAAAAAATAAAAAATAAATTTAAAAAAATAGGCATCAGGAGGGTAGGAGCTCTTTTTATGGCTCCCTGTGTTTAACACAATGCTGGGCACAAAATCAGGTTAAGATTCAGAGGGTTTCGACAGCCAAAGCTATTGAAGGGAATGGCATTTTATACACAGTATAGATATCCATACACTGGAAACACTTTTCTGGGGATTCTGACATCCATCTCAGCCCTTGCTGAGAACTCTTAGCTGAGGGGCCATGAAGCCTGGGTGCTCGTGTGAAACTGCAACTTGCAGTTGACTTTGAGGGAGTCTCAGTGCGTCTCCAGGCTCCATCTCCTCATCTGTGTAAGAGAAGTGAAGCCCAATCTGTCCTGCCTAGTTTCCCCTGGGTTTGTTCTGAGGATGAAAGAAGATGCTGTGTGTAGAACCAGGTCATAATCTGGTAAGTGCTCAACAGACGTAAGGTCCTGGGATAACATACACTTGTTTTGATAATTACAACAAGATTCCTCAGGCAGCCTTTACTTCTTTCCTAGACTGTGCCCGCTACACAGTTTCTTCATTCAGCACCTGCCTCATTCTCTCATGTTGTTTTTTGGAGACAGGGTCTTGCTCTGTTGCCCAGACTAGAGTGCAGTGGCACAATCATAGCTCACTGCAGTCTCAAACTCCTGGGCTCCAGCGATCCTCCTGCCTCAGCCTCACAGGTAGCTGGGACTACAGGCACGAACCACCACACCTCTCTAATTTTTTAAAAAAATTTTTGGTAGAGATGGGGTCTTGCTATGTTGCCCAGGCTGGTCTCAAACTCATGGCCTCAAGCAATCATCCCTCCTTGGCCTCCTGAAAGGCTGGAAAGCCACTGCATCTAGCCCTATTCATTTTCTTTCTTTCCGAGACAGAGTCTCTCTCTGTTGCCCAGGCTGGAGTGCAGTGGCACAATCTTGGCTCACTGCAGCCTCTGCCTCCTGGATTCAAGTGATTCTTGTGCCTCAGCCTCCTGAGTAGCTGGGATTTCAGGCAACCATCACCATGCCCAGCTAATTTTTATATTTTTTGTAGAGATGGGGTTTAGCCATGTTGGCCAGACTGGTCTTAAACTCCTGACCTCAGGTGATCCACCCAGCTCCTAAAGTGCTGGGATTACAGGTGTGAGCCACCACGCCTGGCCCCATTCTTTTAAAAATATCAGTGGCTTCCATCTATTAGAAGTAGGTTGGGCTATACATCACACTATCCCTAAATCTTACTTTCATGTGGTTTGTTTAATAATTAATTCCCAATAAGTCTCAGGGGAGAGTTCTGCAATATGTATAAAACTTTGGCAAGATGGCATATTAGGAACAGCTCTGGTCTGCAGCTCCCAGCGAGATCGACACAGAAGGCGGGTGATTTCTGCATTTCCGACTGAGGGAAATTGATATTAGGGCTAATATCAAGAATCTACAAAGAACTTAAACAAAATTACAAGAAAAAAACAAACAACTCCATCTACTGCCTTGAGTGGGCAGTAGGCAAGCTGAGGCCTGGGTTTCTAAGTGGTCGAGAGGAGGCTGGAGACCAGCAGGGGTCAGACGCTGAGACGAGACAGATTTAACCCTCATCACAATTTTGCTCAAGTCCTGGGGTTCCTGCCCCACCAGTTTCCTTTTCGGAAGCCTGAAAACATAAACCAGGTTTACCAACACCCTCAATTCGCAACCAGCCCCTTCTCTCCGGTGGATGTGTTTGGGAAGCCAGGCATAGAGAATATTGCCATTGACCTCCTCCTGCTCCTTTCCTTGTCCCGCTTTATTAGCATCACATGAATTTGATGGGTGTGTTGCCGAAGCCAGAATAAGTAGTTTAGACGGTGAGGGCAGCAGCAGCTCAGAGAAGGGAGCAGCTGAAAAACCTCAGGGCTTGTGCACCACCTCTTGAGGCCAGCCAGCCTTGCCCTGTCTCCAGGCAGCTGTGCTCCTAAACCGCGACAAATGACTAAGAAATTTCTGCTCAGGGGAGTCCTGAGGGAAGGAAGGTGCTCTTTCCCTGCAGGTGCATTTGACGTCACTCAGGCACAGGGGGCCCCTCCCAGCAGCCTCCAGAAGCAGCCTCCAGAGCCTGGGTCGGTGACAGCCCGTCTAGTATTTAAGCATGATTCAGCCACCCTCCCTACTCCCGTGTAAATCCGTGGATATGCACGGAATCCAGCTTCCTCTTTCTGCACATACACACATCCTTTTGGCTATTTCTCTGGAGGACCCTGACTAACACAGGCCACCGACCCTCCATCACTGTGGGCTTCCTGTTTCTGCAGTAAGCACTCCCTTTGGGAGAGTCCAATGAGAAAAAAGGAAAGAACCTCATTAGGTCCCTCCACGTCAACACTGACTGTGTTAACCCTAATTACTGCACCTGAATTATTCTTTTCCAGTTGCAAAGAAGGAAATCTCTAAGGTCTTTTTTAAAACCTACAAAACTTCTAAAGAATGGTAAAATGGGAAGGCTTTTTTGCATTGGCAGGAGCATAAATAATTCCTGAGGGCATCTGAACTCCAACCAGGTCAGCCCAGCCCAGCTTCCCCAACATCCCCCTTGCCAGGGAAGAGGCAGAGAATAGTAACTCAAGTTTATAGAGACTGTATTGTTGCCTTTGATCTTCAGCACCACCCCATTGAGGTAAGCATTAGCTCATACCTTTGGACAAGGGCAAGTCAGAAAGTGAGAGGGAAAGTGAGAAAGGCATTTGGAAAAAACAGGGAGGAGGACTTGGTCATTGCTTCATTCATGTATTCATTGCACAAATATTTATTGGCTACCACAATGTGTCAGCTGTGGTGCTGGAAGTGGAGAGACAATAGCAAGTGAGACAGAGAAGGTCCAAACCTTTACCCAACGGAGTGTATAGTCCAGCAAACATTTCCTGAAGGCCTGCACCTGGCAAGGCACTGCTGGCAAAGCCCAAGAGTACAGCAACCCAGCTTAAAGGAGGGTGATCCAACTTTGAAAGCTGCCCCTTCTGTGAGCGCCCTCAATCCCTCAAGCTTATTCTGCCTCACTAATGATTGCTCTCCCTTCCATGGTCTATTGTACCATCTTTCTCTCCCTATTGGCCTGAGAGCTCTTCCAGGGCAGGACCACTCTCCACTCAGCCCAACACAATGTCTGGCGCACGGTTCTTCAGGCACATTCATCCAATGATGACCTGCAATGAGCCGAGCATGGTGTCAGCAGCTGAAGCAACAGAGAGGGAAGAAACCCAGGCCCCTTCCTCCAGGGATGTGGAGTCTAGTGGGGGAGAAAGATAAAGAAAGAAGCAACTATTTTGATGTGATAAATTTCCTGGGGAATGACTAAGTGCCAAGCTGTGCAGAAGAAGAAATGCTGGCTGGGCCTGGTGGTTCACACTTGTAATCCCAGCACTTTGGGAAGCCAAGGTGGGAGGATTGATGGAGGCCAGGAGTTTGAGATCAGCCTGAGCAACAGAGCAAGACTCCATCTCTACACAAAATTTTAAAAATTAGCCAGCTGTGGTGGCACACAACTGTAGTCCCAGCAACTTGGGAGGCTGATATGGGAGGATTGCTTGAGCCCCGGAGTTCCTGGCTGCAGAATGGCCACTGCCCTCCAGCCTGGGCAACACAGTGAGACCTAGTCTCAAAAAAAAAAAAAAAAAAAAAAAAAAAAGCCAAAAAGGAGAGAGGAGGGAGGAGAGAAAAGAGGAGGGAGGAAGGGGAGGTCAAGGAAGGAGGAGGAGGAACATAGCTGTAATGGGAAGATAGGGAGGAAAAAGGAGGATGGAAGACATGCTCAGATATGTCTTCATGGCTAGATGGTAAGTTCTGACTGGGCAGAGACAATGTCTGTTTCCTTAGTACCTAGCAAAGGGTCTTGCACTGGGTAGATATTCACTGTATTTTCAGTGGGGAATGAATTCCCATAATAGGGAATCTGAAGCCCTTAAAGAAAACCAGAATAGCAAAGAATAGAATAATGTTTACTCTTTTATATTGATTAGAAATGCATACTCCACATATAGAAAGTACAAACTCAACAGAGTAAAATCTCAGAGAATGGTTTTTACACATATTTGCAGTGTGATCAGTCAATGTTCCTGAAAGCTAATAAGAATCCAGTAACCATTTAATATTAAATGTATGGAGAAGCTACCTAAATCCTAGGGTCATGTTGCTTGTCACTTGAGAGAACACCATTTTCTTGTCTAACTCTTATTTTTATTCACATTCATGATCATACATGCATGTGCAGCCACACGAACATCAACATCAATATCTGGTTTCTAGAGTAGATTCTCAAAAGGTAGGAAAACCTGCCTTGATAGCATCTTATAAAACTCAGCACATTACCACACACAGATGCATTCCAATTGTGAAATCTCTCAGGACGAAAAGTATTCTATGGGTGATGCTGTTTTTCTTTTTTTTCCCAGGTTTTGCTTATTAATGACCCAGCCAGGCTTTCTCACATTGTCTTGTGCTAGAGGCATTGACTCCTCACATCGGAAAAGTAAAATGCCTAGAAATGCCTAAAGGAGAAATAAAACAAAGTGGTTGATGCTTAGAAAGAAAAGTCATCCAATTCACTCACAGTGGGTCATGCTGCTTAACTCAGCCACAAGGAAATCCCAATTCATGCAAAAATAATTCTGTCTTCATTATTCTACAATCCAGTGGGTGTCTATGATAATTTGAGTACTCCTTTCTTGAAAAGAGAAGATCAGCACGTGTGTCTTTAACAATACATTCCTCTTGGTCTTGCTGAAATGCTGCATTAGTGACTGCATCTGATTGCACTGGAACCTGGCTCAGGCCCCCTACTGATGCTCTTACAGGCCATTATTAATGCGTACCCCTTCAGGGGCTGTAATTTGGGACTCAATTTGCCATAAAATTGTCCTAAGTGTCACCTTAGTAATCGGAGATCACATGACCCATGAAACACATTGAGATGAAAGATGGCACCTCTTGGAAATGAATGTCAAATTTTCCCCCATAGTAAAAAGGCACTAGCCATTGTATTTGCAGTGGATTTCACTGTGCCTTGAGATGGGGAGGGGTTACAATGTTCCCTGTGCACATGCCTTGAGCTGGGCCTGCTAGGCCTCAGACCAGAGCCTTCACCTACCACATACCCTGAAGACTCAACACACAGACTCTAGTAATTCAGCCATCCCTCAGGTGGATTTTGATGGTGCTTATCTTTTTAACCAAAAATCCATATGTTTTCTAACAAAGGAGTTTTATCCTAATTCCAGATACAAAAAGTAGGTTAGATGTCAAGTCTGGCAAAACAAAAGGTAGTTTGATTAATCATTAGGGAAATGCCAATCAAAACCACAATGAGACACAATTTCACACCTATCAGGATGGCTATTTCCAAAACAAACAAACAAACAAACAAACAAACACAAAACAGAAAATCACAACGGTTGACAAGGATGTGGAGAACCTGGAAGCCTTGCACGTGGCTAGTGGGAAGGTAAAATGGTGCAGCTGGCGTAGAAAAACAGTATGGCAGCTCCTCAAAAAAAGGAAACCCAGGATCACTATTAACATGTGATCCAGCAACTTCACCTCTGAGTACACAACCCAAAGAACCGAAGGCAGGGACTTGAATAGATACCTGTGTATCAGTGTTCATAGCAACACTATTCACAATAGCCAAATGACAGTAATAATGATCTACATGTCTACTGGCAGATGAATGGATAAACAAAAGCGGATACAGACATACCATAGAGTGTCATTGAGTCTTAGAAAGGAATGAAATTCTGACACATGCTGAACATTTGCCCATGGATGAACCCTGAAGACATGATGCTAAGTGAAATCAACCAGACAGAGAGAGACAAATAACGTGTGATTCCACTTATACAAGATGCGGAGAGTAGTCAAATTCACAGAGACAGAAAGTGGAGTGGTGGTTCCCACGGTGGAGCAGGGGTCATTGTTCAATAGTATATAGTTTCAGTTTGGGAAGATGAAAACATCTGAAAAATGGATGGTGGTGACGGCTGAAGAACAATGCGAATGTACTTAATGCCACTGAGCTTTCTATTTTAAAATGGTTAGAATGGTAAAGCATACATTATGTACCTTTTATAACAAAATGTTTTAAGGTAGATTGGTTGTCAAAATACTAGAATTTCACATTTCAATGGACGAAAGCCAAAACGAATGCAATGTGGGACTGCCCTGGAAAACTCCAGGCATTTGGACGGCCATCTTGAAACTGTGCTGTAGATAAGGTAGATCAAGACCAGGAAGCCCTGGGGAGAAGGTGGCAGGGATATAGAGCTGGAGAGAAGGGGAACTGTCTGCCTCTTTCCTTCAGAAAAGCCTGCGGTGACAACTTGTTCACCTCTAGCCTTACTGCTCGGGCTGCAGAGGACGCCGGCACCAGCACCTTTGTCCATCTCAAGGGCTCTGTTGGAAACTTGAGTCAAATCAACTACCTTGCAGCCTTAATCTATAGTAGTTATTTTTGTTGTTCCTTCTGTTCCTGGTGACACTTGGTTCTGAATTTAGTCTAGCAGAATGAGAGGGCCTGCACAGGGGCCCTGCTATAAGTTACCTTCACTCACAAAATGCGGGCATCCCCACCCCTAGTTACAACACACATGTAGCAACATGTCTTCGTATGTTCTAAAGCAGAGGAAAGAGCCAATGGAACTTATAAGCTGTAGCTTATAAAGCACTCTTAGATGATTCTACCATTTTTTAAAAAAAATTACCATGATTTATCTGGTCATCTAGAGGGGCCAGACACAGTATGATTATGATGCTCTTATGAACTTCAGAGCACTCCTAGAGGCCACTTTTAATGAAGTACAAGCCTCCTGACTGGAGATTAAGTCAATATCCTTTATCACACTATTGAAAGCACTGAATATTTTGGTATCGACTCTCACTACTCTATTTCAAAAGAGGCTGAAGAAGCTGAAAAGCTGAGCAGCACTTCTCAGTTTCAAGAAACTAGGAGGCAAAAACTGGAGTCTAGGACTCATCAATGAGGGCCTAATAATTCCCTCCATTTTGGGGCTGAGATCTCAAAGAACTGTACCCTAGGACTAAGGGTGATGGAAGTCGACTAAAACTCAGCAACAAATTATCTCAATTCATGAAGTGGAATTAAGGTGATCAAGACTGCTAGTCTGGGGGAGGGGTGGAGCAAAATGGCTGACTACAAGGCTCCACTGATTGTCCCCACAGCAGGAATGCCAAATTCAACAGCTATCCACATAAAGACAGCATCTTTATAAAACCAACAATCAGGTGAGCACTCACAGTCCCTGGTTTTAATTCTATCACTGAAAGAGGCACCAAGGAAGGTAGCAAGGAGAGTCCTGAATTGCCAGTGCCCCACTTCCTCCATCGCCCAACAGCGGCCATGTGGCACAGAGCAAGAACCTGTGCACTCAGGAGAGACAGCACAGTGATTATGAGACTTTACACTGAACTCAGCACTGCCCTGTCACAGTAGAAAGCAAAACCAGACTGAACTCAACTGATGAACGCCCAGGGAGGGAGCATTCAGATGGGCCCAAGCTGGAGGGGAACCGCTGTCCCCGTGGGGGGAATCTGAGTTCCAGCAAGCCTCACCACCATGGGCTAAAGTGCTCTGGGGCCATAAATAAACCTAAAAGGCAGTCTATACCACAAGGACTGTAACTCTTAGGCAAGTCCTAGTGCTGAGCTGGGCTCGAAGCCAGTGGGCTTGGGGAGCATGCGACCTACTGAGACACCACCCAACACAGCTAAAGGAGTGTTTGCACCAGTCCTTCCCCAACCCCAGGCAGCACAGCTCTTGGCTCCAAAAGAGATCCCTCCATTCTGCTTGAGGAGAGGGGAGGGAAGAGTAAAGAGTAAAGAGAACTTTGTCTTACATCTTGGGTACCAGCTCACCCAAAGTAGGATAGGGCACTAGTCAGAGTTGTGAAGTCCCCATTTCAGGTCCTTCCTCCTGGATGACATTTCCAGACACACCCAGGGCCAAAAGGGAACCCACTGCTTTGAAAGGAAGGACCCAGTGCTATCAGGATCCATCACCTGCTGGCTAAAGAGCTCCTGGGTCCTGAATAACCAGCAGCAATATCCAAGTAATATCCAGGTGGTGGTAGCCATGGGCTGCCTGTGGAAACGGGACGAAAGAGTGGGAAGAGCTGGGACTCATGGTTTGAGTGCCAGCTCAGCTGCAGTAGAATAGAACACCAGGTATATTTCTAAGGATTTTGGTTCCAGTACGTGGCTCCTGGACAGCACCTCTGGACCTGCCCAGGGCCTAAGGGAACCCAATGCCCTGAAGAGAAGGACACATGCCTGGTTGGCTTCACCACCTGCTTACTGTAAAGCCCCAGGGCCTCGAGCAAATATAGGCCATAGCCAGGTAGTGCTTCTAGCAGGCCTTGGGTGAAACTCACTACTGTGCTGGCTTCAGGTCTGACCAGTGCAGCCCCAGTGATAGTGGCCACAGGGGAGCTTGTGTCACCTCACACCCAACTCCAGGTAGCTCAGCACAGAGAGAGAGACTATGTTTGTTTGGGAGAAAGTAAGGGAAGAGAACAAGAATCTTTGCTTGGTATCCAGAGAACGCTTGCAGATCTTATCCAAGACCACAAAGGTGGTACCTCTATGAGTCTGCAAGAACCACAGTGTTACCAGGCTTGGGGTGCCTTGTAATACAAACATGACTTAGATAACACACCCAAGTCCTTTCAAATACCTCAAAAGCCTTCCCAAGAAGAACAGGCACAAACAGCCCAGATTGC
This sequence comes from Homo sapiens, assembly GCF_000001405.40. Lineage (NCBI taxonomy): Eukaryota > Metazoa > Chordata > Mammalia > Primates > Hominidae > Homo > Homo sapiens. The sequence continues at coordinate 420,228 of NT_187516.1, forward strand.
AAAGACTATAAGTACCTAACTCTTCAATGCCCAGACACCAAAGAACATCCACAAGCATCAAAACCATTCAGGAAAATGTGGCCTCACCAAATGAACTAAATCAGGCATCAGGGAACAATCCCAGAGAAACAGAGATATGCAACTTTTCAGACAGAGAATTCAAAACAGCCATTTTGAGGAAACTCTGAGAAATTCAAGATAACACAGAAATGGAATTCAGAATTCTATCACATAAATTGAACAAAGAGATTAAAATAATTAAAAAGAATCAAGCAGAAATTCTGGAGCTGAAATTGCAAATGACATACTGAAGAATGCATCCGTTATTGGCCTTAAAGAGGAGGTAGAGAAGGAGATAGGGATAGAAAGTTTATTCAAAGGGTTAACAGAGAACACCTCAAACCCAGAAGATATCAATATCTAAGTAAAAGAAGGCTACAGAACACCAAGCAGATTTAACTCAAAGAAGACTACCTCGAAGCATTTAAAAATCAAACTCCCAAAGGTCAACAATAAAGAAAAGATCCTAAAAGCAGCAAAATAAAAGAAACAAATAACCCATTGGAGTTTCAATATAGCTAGCAGCCGACTTCTCAGTGGAGAACTGATAGTCGAGAAGAGCATATTTAAAGTGCTGAAGGAAAAAAACTTTTACCCTAGAATAGAATATCTATCGAAAATATCCTTCATACATGAAGGAAGAATACTTTCTCAGATAAACAAAGGCTGAGGGATTTCAACAAAGACTAGAACTGTCCTACAAGAAATGTTAAAGGAAGTATTTCAATCAGAAAGAAAAGGATGTTAATGAGCAATAAGAAATCATCTGAAAATACAAAACTTACTGGTAATAGTAAGCACACAGAAAAACACAGAATATTAAACATTGTAACTCTGGCTTGTAAACTACTCTTACCTTGAGTAGAAAAGACTAAAAGATGAACTAATAAAAAATAATAACTACAACTATTCAAGACATAGACAATACAATAATACATACATTTAAAAGTTAAAAATATATAAATTTAATATATAAATTTAAAAAGTTAAAAAACACGGGATGAAATTAAAGTGTAGTTAACCTAACCATTATTAGGATTTTTTGCTTCTTTGTTTATGCAAGCAGTCTTAAAATAATGGGTAATAGATATTATTTGTAAGCCTAATGGTAACCTCAAATCAAAAAACATACAATGGATATGCCAAAAATAAAAAGCAAGAAATTAAATCCTACCACCAGAGAAAATCACTTTCACTAAAAGAAAGACAGGAAGGAAGGAAATAAGAAGGAGAAGACCACAAAATAACCATTGCATTGGGCCTGCCTGGGTGGTCCGTGCAACCCAAGAGAGTGAGGAAAAGCAGGGTGGGGCAACAGCCCACCCTTGAGCGGGGTGGAACCAGGTGAGCCCTCACCCCAGGCAAGAAAGGTGGTGAGTGATTGTACAACGCCCCCCCAGGAAGCCATGCTTTTCCCATGGATCTTTGCAACCCGCAGATCAGGAGATCCCCTTGTGCACCCAGCAAGGCCTTGGTTCCCAAGCACAGAGCTGTGTGAACTCTCGCAGCTGCTTGGCCATGCACAAAGACCCAGGAGTTTCTTGCATACTCCACCCCGGGAATTCCAGTGAGACAGGAGATCTTCCAAGCTTTCCCCTAGGAAGGGGGCTAAAGCCAGGACACTAAGCAGCGTCATCCTGCAGGCCCCACTCCCATAGCACCTCACGAGTTAAAACCCACTGACTTGGAATTCTAGCCAGCCTGTGGGAGCAGGCTGGAGATTGCCGGAGATGACCAAGTTCCCAGGGGGAGGGGCAGCCGCCATCTACATGGCTCAAGTCAGCCATTTTGGCCTGCCAACTCCAGGAGTCTGCAAGGTCCAGACCAAAAGGAATTCAGCGCCATGCCGCGCAGCCAGCTGCTGTGGTAGATCGCGGCCAGGCTGCTTCTTTAAGTGGGACCCTGACCCATCCCTCCTCACTGGGTGGGGCCTCCCTGTGGGAATTTCATAACTCCGATCTCTCCCTGGGATGGAGCCACTGTGGGGAGGGGCGGCCACCGTATCTATGGTTCAGCCTGCTGGCTCTGGAAAGTCCAGGTGATCTGGAAAAGAGGGGCTCCTCCCACTGCAGCACACCTGCTCTGCCAAGGGGCAGCCAGACTGCTTCTTTAAATGGGTCCCATTCCTCCTGACTGGGTAAGACCTCCCAATAGGGGTCTCCAGACACCTTCTAGAGGAGCATTTGGGCCAGCATCAGGTCGGGACCCCTGGGATGGAGCTCCCAGAGGAAGGAGCAGGCTGTCATATTTGCTGTTTTGCAGCCTTCACTGGTGATACCTCTAGGTGCAGGAGGGTCCAAGGCAACTAGGGTCTGGAGTGGACCTCCAGCAAACCACAGTAGCCCTACAAAAAGGGGCCTATTAAAAGAAAAACAAACAGAAAGAAAAACAACAACAGCACAGACCCCATAAAAACCCATTAAAACGTTAGCAAACCCAAAGATCAAAAGTAGATAAGTCCACAAAGATGAGAAAGAATCAACACAAAGATGTTAAAAACTCAAAAAGCCAGAGTGTTTCTTCTCCTTCAAATGATGGCAGCATCTGTCCAGCCAGGCCACAGAACTGGGCTGAGACTGAGATGGATACATTGCCAGAAGCAGGCTTCAGAAGGTGGGTAATAGCAAACTTCACTGAGCCAAAGGACCGTGTTCTAACCCAGTGCGAAACAGAGAAGAATCATGATAAAACATTACAGGAGCTGATAACCAGAATAACCAGTTTAGGGAAGAACAGAAATGACCTGATGCAGCTGAAAACCACAACACAAGAACTTCACAATAATGCAATCACAAGTATCAACAGCCAAACAGACCAAGCGGGAGAAGAATCTCAGAGCTTGAAAACTATCTGGCTGAATTAAGATAAACAAACAAGAATAGAGGAAAAAAAAAAGGAACAAACAAAACCTCCGAGAAATGTGGGATTATGTAAAAAGACCGAACCTATGACTAATTGGGGTAGCTGAAAGAGATGGGGAAAATGAAACCAAGTTGGAAAACATACTTCAGGATATCATCCAGAACTTCCCCAACCTAGAAAGACAGGCCAACATTCAAATTCAGGAAATGCAGAGAACCCCAGTAAGACATTCCATGAGAAGATCAACCCTAAGACACATAATCATCAGATTCTCCAAGGTTGAAATGAAAGACAAAATGTTAAGGGCAGCCAGAGATAAAGACCAGGTCACTTACAAATGGAAGCCCATCAGACTCATAGCAGACCTCTTAGTGGAAACCCCACAAGCCAGAGATTTGGGGGCAATATTCAACATTCTTAAAGAATTTCCAACCCAGAATTTCATAACTGGACAAACTAAGCTTCATAACCAAAGGAGAAAGAAGATCCTTTTCAGATAAGCAAACGCTGAGAGAATTCAACACCACCAGGGTGCCTTGCAAGAGTTCCTGAAGGAAGCACTGAATATGGAAAGAAAAACCATTATCAGCCACTACAAAAATACACTAAAGTACACAGACCAGTGACACTACGAAGCAGCTATATAAACAAGTCTGCAAAAATAACCAGCTAGCATCATGATGACAGGATCAAATTCACACATAACAGTATTAACCTTAAATGTAAACAGGCTAAATGCCCCAATTAAAAGACACAGAATGGCAAGCTGGATAAAGAATCAAGCCCTATCAGTGTGCCGTATTCAAGAGATACATCTCATATGCAAAGACACACACACGCTCAAAATAAAGGGATGAAGGAAATTTTACCAAGCAAATGGAAAACAGGAAAAAGCAGGGAGAGCAAATCTGGTTCCAGCAAAACAGAGATTAAACCAACAAAAAATCAAAAAAGACAAAGAAGGCCGGGCACAGTGGCTTATGTCTGTAACCCTAGCACTTTGGGAGGCCAAGGCTGGTGGGTAACTTGAAATCAGGAGTGTGAGATCATCCTGGCCAACGTGGCAAAAGCCCGTCTGTAATAAAAATACAAAAATTAGCAGGGCGTGGCAGTGCACACCTGTAATCCCAGCTACTTGGGAGGCTGAGGCACAAGAATTGCTTGAACCCAGGAGGTAAAGACTGCAGTGAGGCAAGATCGCACCACTGAACTCCAGCCTGGGTGGCAAAGACTCTGTCTCAAAAAACAAACAAACCAACAAACAAACAAAAAACAAAGAAGGGCATTACATGATGGTAAAGGGTTCAATTCACCAAGAAGAGCTAACTATCCTAAATACATATGCACCCAATATATATATATGCATCTAATACAAGAGCACCCAAATTCATAAAGCCAGTTCTTAGAGACCTACCAAGAGACTTAGACTCCCACACAATAACAGTGGGAGACTTTAACACCCCACTGTCAATATTAGACAGATCAATGAGACAGAAAATTAACAAAGCTATTCAGGACCTGCACTCAGCTCTGGGTCAAGTGTACCTGATAGATATCTACAGAACTCTCCACCCAAAAACAGCAGCATATACATTCTTCTCATTGCCACGTGGCTCTTGCTCCAAAATCATCACATAATTGGAAGTAAAACACTCCTCGGCAAACACAAAATAACTGAAATCTTAACAAACAATCTCTCAGACCACAGCACAATCAAATTAGAACTCAAGATTAAGAAACTCACCCACAACCACACAAATACATGGAAATTGAACAACCTGCTCTTGAATGGCCCCTGGGTAAACAATGAAATTAAGGCAGAAATCAAGAAGTTCTTTGAAGCTAATGAGAACAAAGAGACAACATACCAGAATCTCTGAGATGCAGCTAAAGCAGTGCTAAGAGGGAAATTTATGGCACTAAATGCCCTCAAAAAGCTAGAAAGATTTCAAATACACAACCTAACATCACAACGAAAAGAACTAGAGAACCAAGAGCAAACAAACCCCAAAGCAGGCAGAAGACAAGAAATAACCAAGATCAGAAGGGAACTGAAGGAGATAGAGACACACACACAAAAAAAACTTCAAAAAAAATCAATGAATCTGAGTTGGTTTTTTGAAAAAAATAAAATAGACCACTAGCTAGACTAATAAAGAAGAAAAGAGAGACGAACCAAATAGATACAGTCAGAAAGGATAAGGGGGATATCACCACTGATCCCACAGAAATACAAACAACCATCAGAGAATACTATAAATACCTATATATACATAAACTAGAAAATCTAGGAGAAATGGATAAATTCCTGGACACATATACCCTCCCAAGACTGAACCAGAAAGAAATTGAATCCCTGAATAGACCAACAGTGAGTTCTAAAATTGAGGCAGTAATAAATAGCCTACCAACCAAAACTAGCCCAGGACCATACAGATTTATAGCTGAATTC